>NT_187679.1:300000-555799 GCF_000001405.40 Homo sapiens | reverse complement strand
GATCCCTTGAGCCCAGGAGTTCAAGGCTGCAGTGAGCTATGATCTTGCCACTGGACTTTACCCTGGATGACAGAGTGAGACCCCATTTCAAAAATAAAAAAAAGAACTGCCACAATCCAATAATTTCACTTCTGGATATATGTCCAATGAAATTGACATAAGAGTCTTAGAGAGGTGTCTGTCATCCCCTGTTCATTGCAGCATGACACACAATGACCAAAATATGAAAATAACCTAAATGTCCTTTGGCAGAGGAACAGATGAATGGGTAAAGAAAATGTGGCATGTATATATAAAATGAAATATTATCCGACCTTAAAAAAGAAGGAAATCCTTCTATTTGTGAAAACATGGATGGAGCTGGAAGATATTGCACCAAGCAAAAATGCAAGACACAGAGAAAAATACTTCATGATCTCACTTACATGAGGAATCTACAACAGTCAAATTCATAAAAACAGAGAATAGGACAGTGGTTGCCAGGGGCTCAGGGAGGGGAAACGGGGTGATGTTGGTTAAATTGTACAAAGTTCAAGTTATAATAATTTCTGGAGATATAATGTACAACATGGAACAACACTGTGTCATATTCTTGTGTTCTGCTAAAGGACTAGATCATAAATTAATTACTGTCAACACACACAATGGTAAATATGTAGAGATAATAAATATGCTAATTTGCTTGATTGTGGTGATCATTTCAAAAAGTATAAAATATCAAAACATTAAGTTACCTTAAATTTACACAATTTTTATATGTCATGTTATCATCATAAAGCTGTTAAGAAATATTTAGTAAATAATGTCTACAACCTGGGAACTTTCTCATGACAGGGAGGGCTAGAGTAGGAAAATGGAATTTTGCAACAAGGATAGGGTGAGGGACATGGGAAATGATTGATCAAGTATTTAAGAAATGACCTGGGTGGAAGCTACATCAGAGAGTATGAGCTTTAGAGCATCTGTCCTCAAATTTTTGGTTTCAGGACCACTTTACATTTAAAAGTTATTGAGGACCCCAAAGAGCTTTTATTTACTTGGATTATATCTATCTATATTTATCATATTAAACATTAAAGCTGAGAAATTAAAAAAATATACTTATATGTTTACATAAATCACATTTTTATTTAAAGTTATCATTTTTAAACAGTAAAGTTGGTGAGAACATTGACATTGTTTTATATTTTTAAGTATGTCTTTAATGTCTGGTTTAATAGAAGAAAACTTCGTTCTCCTTTCTGCTTCTACATTTAATTTCTTGTGACATCCCACGTCAGGTAGCCTCTGGGAAACTCCAATTATACTTGTGAGAGAATGAAATTGGAAAAGGTCAACAAAACCTGTGTATTTTTATGAAAAGAGTTTTGACCTTGCAGAGCCCCTGGAAGGGACCCAGGGACTTCTCAGGGTTCTCTGGCTCATGTGTTCACAGAGTAGAGGGTAAGTCCACAAGAGAAGGCAGTGATTGGCTGTGGGAGGTCTTGCTGAGTGGTGGTAGAGAAGAGGTTGGATGTGTAGAAAGTATGGTCATTGTTGTCATTTCTTTTCCCTTTCCTTTGGCTTCTTGTCGCTGGGATTTCCTCTTTAGCTGCCTAATGAAAGTTTTTGTTTTGTCTTTCTGAGTCTTGATACATTTCAAGAAGTCTTCTATCTCATTTATTTTTCCACCCAAATTTGGAATTTAGGAAGAGTCCATATAGCTATATTTAGATAATTTATCTCCCTGAAGACATTTTGGGATCATTTATAAATCTCTGTAAGCAATGCTCTGATGTCCCTTTATTTTGCTTAGAGACTGGGTCTTGCCGTGTTGTCTGGACTGGAGTGGCTCGATCGTAGCTCACAATACGCAGTACAATCAAACTCCTGGTCTCAAAGCGATCCTGCCACTCAGCCTCCACAGTAGCTAGGTCTGCAGGTGTGTGCCAGCACGCCTAGCTTTTTATTACTATTATTATTATTTCATTATGCTGCCCAGGCTGGTCTTCCAACTCCTGGCCTCAAGTGATCCTCCTGCCTTCTGCCTTCTGAAGAGCTGAGATTACAGCTGTAAGCCACCATGCTGGTCCCGATGTCATTTAAATACAAACAAGATACTATATTCCTTGTAGGAAGTGCTACATAAACATAATTTTTTTGAGCTAGGGTCTTGCCGTGTCACCCAGGCTGGAATGCAGTGGTATGATCACACTCACTGCAGCCTTGACCTCCAGGGCTTAAGCGATCCTCCCACCTCAGCCTTCCAAGTAGCTGGGACCTGAGGTGTGAGCCACCAAGCCCAGCGAATTTTTCAAATTTTTGGTAAAGATGGGTGTGTCATTGTGTTGCCCAGGCTGGTCTTGAACTCTTGGGCTCAAGTTACCCTCCTCCCAGGTCTCCCAAAAGTGCTGGGATTAAGCACCCGGCCCTAAAATTTCATTCACTTTCTTTGTTTGTCCACAAGGTGGTGTTGTTTCCCCACAAGGTGGTGCTGTTTCCCTTCTAATAACATGAGACAGCTCACTCAAGAACATCAAGAACACGACATTCTCTAAAAAATATCACAGTAGTTCCTTTTCCATAACTATTAAGTTTTCAAGGTGTTATCAGGTTTATCTCATAGAAAGAATGTGTAAAATTTTTCATGTACAAACATAATCTTTTAGCAATGAGTTAAAAAATTTGGCATTGTCTGAATGAAGATTTCCTTTTTCCTATAATTTTATTTATTATAATTATATTTTTAGTGATATCAATTGCTTTATAAAAACTCATTACCGAATGACTGTGAAATCGTCTGCTTTGAAGCACAGTGAAATCAGTCAGCATACTGGGTCTAACACGGTTCCTTCCATTTTAAGAAAGCTATTTACACTCCAATTTGCAAGTTGGACTTTACAAAAATTAAAACATTTATAAAATATACTAACTATGATTGTTTTAAAAAGTAATGGTTTTTTTATGGTAAGGAAATAAATTGAAGCTCTGTGTTGGAAAGTGCAGAAAACAAATCAGCATTCTTTATAAATAGATTTTACTGCTGGTTTAGAAATTACCTTATGTGCTTTATAGATGATGGAAAAATGAAATCAGCTGCAGTTAGCACTGTGCATGCGTCGTATTTGCTGTGTCACTTTTAGAAAGATTATGGAATATTGGCAGGTCAGGATTCTCAAAATGATCAGTTCTAAGAAGAGGCTAAATGAAAAAGAATTTAAAAGCAAGCCTAGTTGTTTAATATATACATGGATGAGTTAAGGGGAAATCCTGGACTGGGAGCTAGCAGATCTATGTTCTGACTTTTACTAAGTCATTGGCTGCTACAGCAGGCCGAGCAGACATAACTGCCAAGGCTGCCTGGGAGTTGGGTTGACTGGCAATTGGCACAGGGAGGGAGGGCAATTGCCAGAGTAATGGCCAAATATTCAGGGTTTCATGTTCAGTGAAGTAGGGCATGCATTTATATCCCAAAGGCAAAACTGACGCTAGAATCAGGCCTTCTGGCTGAATCTGAGTCCACAGTCTGATGGGTAGGATGAAGTAGTCTCAGAAATCCAAGCCAGCCAGAACCCATGAGGTGTGCTCTGCAGATATTGGCTGGCAAGCTGCATTAAGATGTTTCATTCCATTGAGCAAACATTCCTTGATTGATTAGGTTAGCATCCCACAGGAGCAGAGACAAATTCTTCAGAATTTGTCCATGAAGCTGTAGTCCCAGAGCTTATATTTCAAGGGCAGAAGGAGGAAACAGCATTTCAGGATGGTAGGTGATTACAGCTAAACCGAATTCTGAAAATAAAAGGAACCCTATGTCTTTGTCTGCTCAGGCTGCTGTTACAAACAACTGTAGACTGAGTGGCTTAAACAGCACATACTTGTTTCTCACAGTTCTGAGAAATCAAAGATTAAAATCTGGGCCAGCAGAGCCAGTGTCTGGTGAAGGCCTTCTTACTGGTTTGCAGGTGTTCTTGTTGTATCTTCACATGGCTGAGAGAAGAGGGCTCTAGTCTCCTTCTCTTCTTATTAGGATGCTAACCCCATCGTGGGAACTCCATCCTCATCAAAACCAAATTACTTCCCAAAGGTCCTCCTTCTAATGCCATTCTATTGTTAGAGTTTCAACATGTGCATTTGTTGATGCAAACATGCAGTCCACAGCATCTTATCTAATCAAATCAGTTGCCCCTTGAATAAAATTCTAGCTCCTATAACAAGACTTAAAATTATGACTTGGTTGTTGCCAAAACGGTCTATCTGGATTTGCTAGAAACCAAGCATATTTGAATATTTCCTCTAAAGATTTTCTCATTCCTACCCTATTATGTATATTTACAGAATTCTTAAATAATTATATACACAAGGCTTCTATTAGCTCTGACTAGAGCTTCTATTAGCTTTGACTATTGCAAGCAGCTTTATAGCACTGTAGGTAAAGCATGTGCTTTGAAATCATACAATAAAATTTATTACATGCTAAGCACTTTATATTCATTATTTAATTTTATCATCTTAATCACCTTCATTATTACCTCCATTAAACCCTATTTGTTGGCTACCTATATTATTCTGATTTTGCAAAACTAAATTTGAGAGCCTTTCCCAATGTCACATAAGTTAATAACTGGCATAGCTGGGGCTTGAATTAAAGTCTACCTGATTCCAAGATCTATTTACCATTGTTCTACAATATGTACTTTTTAGGTCCCTGAGAAGGCTAACAGCCTTTCTTTTGAAATCTGCCTTCTTCCTGGATAGCAGCTTTATTAATATGTGATTAGGGCACCATATTTCAGGCAACAAATTCTTTGAAATCTTTCATTTCCATAGTGAGATAAGGATCAGTTCTGTGGCATTGTCTGCCAGAAAACATCATTTGGAGACTATCTTGTACAAGAAGTAGAAGACACAGCTGGGGGCCTGTGGAGGACAGAAAGCTCACAGCTTCTGTCCATACCCCTTTCACTTCCTCCTCAAGGAGATGGACCTCTGTGGTTGGTCAAGCTTAAGGATCTTTTATGGGCCACAGCTAATGGTGAAATCTTCCTAACTGTAGGTGAAGATTTATGGGCAAGTTGGAGAGTTAAGGTAGCTTGTGGCTGCTCCTTTTAGAAGAAAGTCTGATCATTGCTCTCTTATTTGTGGAACCCCTATGCTTGGTAAGACATGCCTGAAGACCAATCCTGTGTCAGTAGACTTCATATCTACTCTCTTCTACCAATCACACAACTACAGACAAATAAGAAAAATAAAACAAAGCTCAGACACACTCCCCTGGCATGGAGGTCACTCTCTGGCTGGCTGCTTTTCTCTACCCTGGTGCCTCCTGGGTGTTCGGCTCTTTCTTAGACCAAATTGAGACATGGGTTTGGGATTAAAGAGAAGTAAGTGAGAGGGGTCTCTGGCCTGTTTTGGCATTAGACCAAGTAAATAACAGAGTTCTTCTGCCTTAAGCTCAGCTCTGTAGAGCTTTCTCTGTGTTTGGGGAAAATCTCCAGATAGTAATGAAGTGGTATTTTACTGTGCTTCATTTTCTGTACATATATCTCTTTCTTAGGTATCTTGTGGGGAGATTGGTTCCCTGGACAAATACCATCTTAATCACTTTCATTATTACCAATTTTATTTTATTTGCAGAATTAAAATTTAAATGGACATTCAGGAAACAAGTCTGGTGAGAGAATTATGTTATGAGGTAAATCTTTCAGCATCTGCCTTAGGGACATGGATTATTTTCCCCCTTGTTTTTCACCAAGCTCCAGGCTTGCAAAAGAATCGTGATGTGGTCTGAGGCAAACTTACTGATTGGCTAGTGGTAAGTTAAACCGTGGCCTGTAGGACCGCGGGGAACCATTGCCTGTCATCGGCCAGAATCCACTGTTTGGAGGTGTGCGCTGGGAAGGCCATTCATACTTACTGATACATGCTTTGTTCTTGGCACTGTGTTAAGTACTGGACACATGCAACAATTTGGAATATTGTTACATTCAACCCTCACAATAGTCTGATGTATATGTTATTAGTCCCGTATTGGAGACGAGTAAACAAGATTAGAGGAAGAGCAGCACACAGCTGGAACCACACAGGTGGCACTGGGATTGGAAGCAGTTCTGTCTCACCCTGGACCACCATTTCTATGCTGTGTCTCCACTAGAGGATCCTTTCTTTGGTTCTTCTAAGTCATTAGTCATCAATAATTTATCTCCAAACTGTAGGTTTCACAGGAGGAGATGCCACTTGAAGCTGCATGGCTAAAAATGGAGATGGAATGTGGAACATGGTGGGAAACACTGGGAGGGGTTTATTGATAAACTTCAAGTACTTTGTGGGGCTCTGAAAGGCTGTCTTCAAATTCTTTGTCCTACTACCTCTTTCATATTAGTTCAAATGTCATATGGGTATATCTTTTGGGTTAAATTAAGGAAAATCTCCATGATAAGTAAAAAACAAACAAAAAAACCCCAAAAGAATAGAAAGAGGTACTACGAAAAATCAACTCAGATTTCTCAGTTTTGTTAACTCAAAGAAGCCTTGGTCCAGTTGGAAGAAGACAGAATTGATTTTGACAATCTCTAGCAAACCCTTTAGCGTTCAATGCACTCTAGACCATGAGTATAAAGAAGTTCACTTAATGGGTTCACCAAATTAGTTAGTTTGTGTAGTTCAAAGGGAAACAGACACACAGGACTGTGAGGCTTTGACAGGGGTGAAAGGCAAGTGTGGGTCCAGTGAGCCCAGGCAGGCCATGAAGGGGCAGGGCAGGAGGAGGACGGTGCTGGGAGGCTAGGGAACTGGCCACCTCCGTGCTGGCTGAAGATCACAAAAATGAACACAGCTTTCTCCAAACGCTGCCCATGCCTGATGGAATTAAACAGAGCTCTGAGAAAGACAGCACCGGGGCCGAGGATGGGTCCTGAGCTGCCTACACTCATCAATATCTTGGCCAGTGGCTATGCCCTCAGGGGCAATTTGCCTAGCTTTCTTGATCCACACCAGAAAACTCGCTTTTGAAGTGGTTTGGAAAGCTCCAAAAGGGATGTGCTTCATGCTATTGGTATTGCTGCCAAAAAGAAAAGATTCTGCTTTTCATCAGCTGTTGATTTTTTCTCTGTGTATTTCTCTAGCATCTATTGCTGGTGGCCCTGGTTATGCTAACAAGCAGATAGTGTAGCTGCAGCAGCAGAACAGAAAAGACTCTCCTGGATTCTCAATTCCAGGCTGGCCTGGGAACAGGCTTAGGGATGTTTCGATGCTTGAATGCAGGCAGGCTGGAGATCTGTGGCAATTCTTTTGACATGAGGCTGGACATTCTTTATAGCTTCCCCAGACACAGAAATTGGCAGGGCTTGACAAAGAATCACTGGCAGGAAGTTCATTTTCTTTATTGCTACCTCCCCAGCCATAAAACTAAAAGCTTTTTACCTAAATCACGTTAGCCATCTCGTGGGAGTAGGAGATCATTTTCTTCAGAGTCTTTCCCAATTGGAGTCTAGTCCTAGGATGGTTTGAACAGTCCATTTGAATTTGAAGAGCTTTCTAATTGATGCTTCTCATCCCCTCTCCAACCAGTCCTATTTGGTGTCATCTGCCTTTCCCCTTCCTCCCTACCAAACCTCAGAGTCTTGAAACAAAAATCTTTGTATTGTAAACTTCATCATGCTAATTTCATCACTTCAAACGAACCTTCTCTTGTTTGAGTTTCCTCCAACTGTGTGACTTAGGGCTGTTGAACTCTTTCAAATACACAGGAAAATGGAAACCTCTTTTGGTGTCTAGTGATCGTATAATAAAACATTTTCAGATGCTAATCACGTGCTTTGTTAATGAATGAAAATCTAAGGATATTCTTATTTGAAAGGTTTAAAAATATAATAACTGTCATTATATCTAATTCTGTCTACATTTGTGGTGTGAAATGAGAAGTCAGGAGCCCTGCCATCTACACAGTGCATGGTTCTACCAGCCGTTTCTGTGTCACTTCAAGCAAATCACTTCTTTTCTGCCTTTTCTTTCTTTTTATGTAAAATGTGGATAACTGTCTGTCTCACTGAATTCACAGAGTGACTGTATCATGTACAACAAAATTTATTGAAAAGTGTAAAGCTCTATAATTAGGTAGAATGTTACCTGTCATTTATAAGCTTTTTAAATCCTGGGGCGGTGGAGGAAGTATTCTTCTTACTGTAAAAGGACATCCCTCTAATAATCTCCCTTCTTTTCCTGACTTTTCAGGGATTCTGTTCATTGCTTTTCCATTTGTCAACTGCATCTTCAATCTCTCTCCTCCTTGATGCCTTCTGTCAGCATTTAAATATAAATTTTTCATTTAAAAAAATCTTCTATCTTGGAGAAACCTTACCTTTGACTCTCTATGTCTTTCTAGCTATCAAGCCATCTCCTCCTTTCTTGGCAAATTTTCCTCAAGGATTTTCCACACTTACTGTCTCCTTTTGCTCCTTTTCCTTTCACTCTTTATTCAGGTCAGTTTGGCTTTCACTTTCACCAAGCCTGTTAAACTGCTTGTGCTAAGGTCACCATATAAGAGTGCTAGGGGCTTCCATCACAAGCTGCCACAGATTGAGTGGTTTATCTTCTCACAGCTCTGAAGACTGGAAATCCAGGATGGAATGTCAGCAGGTTTGCCTTCTTCTGAGAACTGCTGCCTTGCAGACGGCTCCCTTCCTGCTGTGTCCTCAGGCTGTGTTGCCTGTGTCTCAATCTCTTTTTAGATGGACACCTGCCATATTGGTTTAGGGTCCACCCATACGGCTTCATTTGACCTCACTTACCTCTTTGAAGGCCTTCTCTAAATCAGTCCCCTCTGAGGCAGTGGGGATCAGCTCTTCAACATAGGAATCTTGGGGGACACAATTCAGTGCCCCCAGAATTGGTGATTCATAAACATCATGAACACTATTCCTCTTTCTCCCTTTCTTTCTCTTTCTTTCTTTCTTTCTTTCTTTTTCTTTCTCTTTCTTTCTTTCTTTCTTTCTTTCTTTTCTTTTCTTTCTTTCTTTCCTTTCTTTCTTTTCTTTCTTTCTCTTTCTTTCCTTCCTTCCTTCTTTCCTTTCTCTTTCTTTCTTTCTTTCTCTCTCTTTCTTTCTCTCTCTTCCCCCTTCCTTCCTTCCTTTCTTCCTTCCTTCCTTCCCTCCCTTTCATTTATTTTCCTTTCCTTTCCTTTCTTTCCTTTCCTTTCCTCGCTCTCCCTTCCTTCTTTCCTTCCCTTTCCTCACTCTCCCTTCCTTCTTTCCTTCCCTTCCCTTTCCTTTCCTTTCCTCGCTCTCCCTTCCTTCTTTCTTTCCTTCCTTCCTTTCTTCCTTCCTTCTTTCCTTCCTTCCATCCTTCCTTCCTTCCTTCTCCTTCTCCCTTCCTGCCTTCTATTTATTTACTTTTGTTTATATAAAATTTACGGGATACAGGTGCAGTTTTGTTCCGTGCATAGTGGTCAGTTCAAAGCTATTAGGGTATCCATCACCCAAGTAACATATATTGTACATATTATGTAATATATAAGTCCAATGGCGTCTCAGAAACATTCAGTAGAGTAGACCCCTGATCTCTTCCTCTAGCTTGAACTATTTTCTTATCAGCTCCTGCCTCTTTGCCCAAACTTTAAATGTTGAAGTTCCTAAATCCTGGGTCCTCTTCTGTTCTTATTCCATACTAAGCTTGTCCAACCTGTGGCCTGTGGGCCACGTGTGGCCCAGGACAGCTTTGAATGCAGCCCAACACAAATTTGTAAACATTCGTCAAGCATTATAGATTTTTTTATGTTTTTTTTTTTAGCTCATCAGCTATTGTTAATGTTAGTATATTTTATGTGTGGCCCAAGACAATTCTTCTTCCAGTGCAGCCCAGGGAAGCCAAAAGATTGGACGCCCGTGCCTACACAGACTCTAGACAAGGTTTTATTAATTCCTATGGCTTTAGATACTGTTTATATGCATATGGCTCCTACAGAGCTCTCCTCCCAAGCTCCAAAACATTATGTGCACCTGCCATCTTGAAATCTCCACTGGGATTTTCATAGGCATTCCTAAAATCAGAATTCAAAACTCTTGAGTTCTGCCCCCAAATCTATGCCACTTCCTCAATCATTTCCCTTTTGTTAGTTTATTTCTTCTTCAGCCTTACCATTCTTCGTAAAAATTATCTCCATTTACCCATTTGCTTCTTCCAGAAAGCATCATCATCCTTGATGCTTTCTTCTTCCTGCCACCCCCCTACCATCACAACTTGCAACCAAGTCCTGTTATTTCACCTTCAAAATATGTGCTAAAATTATCCACTTCTGTCATCCGCATGTTTCACCTGGTCTGCAAACATATACTCCTCTTTCCAACTTTTTGCCTCTCCAATACCTTCTCTATGGCACACCCAGAGAGGTTCATCAAAAATTTCAATTAGATCATGTCTCTCCTTCATTTAAAAATCTTTAATGATTTTCTACCCATGAAGTAATTCTGCTAGACCACAAGCTCTAAAGATGCAAGGAGTAGGTTTGCCTTATTTGTTTCTGTTTATGCAGAGCCTAGCCTTGCATTTAGTAGGAACTTAACACATTGACCTAGATCTTGTCCACCTTCTCAGCCTCACCTCTCATGGCAGCACTCATAGACCTCAGTCCAGTTACTCTTTTCTCAGATCCCTGAGCTGGCCTGGTCCAGGGCTGCCTGGGCCGTGATGCGTTCACTCCTGCTTTGTTGGCTGGTATCTGCTTATATTCTTGCTACTGTAACTGATGTCCAAGGCAGTCACATAGGCATCCCTGGGAGCTTGCTAGAGCTCAGGCACCACCCTAGATCCAATGAATCAGAATCTGCATGTTGACAAGGTCCCCAGGTGGTTCCTATGCACATTCAAGTTTACGGTGCTTTGCTCTAGATCCCAGCCTGAGGGTTAGTTCTTTAAAGAGACCTTTCCCAACTGGCCAAATCGTATTAGGTCATGTGTTGGATTCACCCACACAGTCTGTGATACAGAAGGGAAAAGGAGTTGAGGCCTATTGATCAGAAGCTGCTCACTTTAGAGTTTTACCTAAGGGTAATTATATCAAAATTCTGTATTTTGTAGAGAAGCATACAAACTATGTGAATAGTTTGAGCAAATTGAAAATTGCCAGTTTTGTTTGCTTTAACCAATATGTTTGCTTTCCCTCTGAAAATCCCTTGTTATGGGTCCTTAGTTTTAGTTTGCCACATTATGACACGATGGGAATAATGCACAGCAGTGATCCTCAGTTGGTTTGGGTTTTCAATACACAATTGATCCATGGTTGTGGCATGCATTGTAGAATGTCCAGCTAGAACACCTATTCTTTCAATTACTTTCATTACTTTCAATGGCAAAACCACAATTACTTTTGCACTAACCTGATAGTTTTGCTACGAGTCAATTGTTCAGGTGTTTTTTTGTTGTTGTTTGTTTTTATTTTTGCAAATACTTTAGATACTGCATAGTGGATGGATTAGTCTGTGGTTCCTGGGATCTTCTGTGTATTCTGTTGAAGCTCAATAATCACATTACTGCGGACCTCCAAAATTTTACAAAGGACTGCATAGTGAGTATTCAGCCGATAAACTAAACCATAGCTTATTACTGTGAGATGAAAGAAAGCACACCAATTAAAAGTAAACACTGTTTAAACTTATCTCAATGCATTTCTAAAGTGTCATACATTTATTATATTCTCTACTTGTAAATATTTTGTTGTGTGTATTGCCAAATATGTCAGGATTTTATGGGTATAATGTATTCTATTAATTTAACTGGAAAACTTGTAGTTATTCAACAAGCAAACAAAGTGTTGGCAGAGATGTAATTTTAAAGCACAATCCCACACACTCCTTGAGTATTACAGCTGCTCCCTGTTTATTTAATAATAGAACTGATGAGTAGTTAATTTGAGAGGAAAGCTGGTGCAGGTGTAGTGCTATTTAGATGTCATGGAGGACACATGTGACCTCTGCAGCTAGCTATATGGTAAAAGCAAAACAGAAGTTAAAATCAGCCCTATGTCAAATCTGCATAGTTTTAGGCTTCAGGGAGTTTCTCTGTATGTTGAGGCAGGAAGTTTAGTAGAATTCCAAGGGAATAAGAGAGGAACCAACATTTGTAAATTTTGCCTTCTATGGGGGAACTCATTCAATCATCAGGAGGACTCTTCGATAGGTTTTATTTGCTCTGGTTTACCTAGATGAAAAATTGAGACCCAGAATCCATGCTTTTCTTTGCTGGTTACACATTAGAATCACCAATGTGACATTAAAACACACACACACACACACACACACACACACACACACACCTGCACACCCATTAAGATGGCTGCTATCAAAAAAGAAAAAACAAAAAAATCAGGGGCTGGGCATGCTGGTTCACACCTGTAATCCCAGCCCTTTGGGAGGCCTAGGCAGGTGGATCACCTGAGGTCGGGAGTTTGACAGCAACCTGGCCAACATGGTGAAACCTCATCTGTACCAAAAAACAAAACAAAACAAAACACACACACACACAATTAGTCGGGCATGGTGGCACACATGTGTAATCCCAGCTAATTGAGAGGCTGAGGCACGAGAATCGCTTGAACCTGGGAGGCACAGGTTGCAGTGAGCCGAGATCACGCCACTGCACTCCAGCCTGCAGACAGAAGGAGATTTGGCCTCAAAACAAAGCAAAAACACCCAGAAAATAACAAGTGCTGACAAGGATGTGGAAAAATTGTAACTCTTGTGCATTGAGGGTGGGTATGAAAAATAGTACATCAGCTGTGGAAAACATATGGTTCCTCAAAAATTTAGACATAGAATTACCATATGATTCAGTAATCCCACTCATATCTGTAAATCTCTATATCTGTATCTATATCTACCTATACCTATCTTCAAAAGAATGGAAAGCAGTTACTCAAATAGATACTTGTACACCTGTGTTCTCTCCGTACCCTTTTTTTTTTTAATAGATGGGGTCTCACTATGTTTCCTAGGCCGGAGTGCAGGGGCTGTTTATAGGCATGATCCCCTGCTGCGGGGCTGTCCACGGGCGCGAGCCCCGCCCCCCCGCCCCGCGCTGCAGGCCTGTCCACGGGCACGAGCCCCCTGCTGCGGGGCTGTCCACGGGTGCGACAACCCCGCCTCCCCCCCACCCCCTCTGCAGGGCTGTCCACGGGCGCGACCCCCCTGTTGGCCGGTTCGCCACTCCTTAGGCAACCTGGTAGTCCCCTATCCCGGGAGGTCACTGTACTAATGTCTAATTTCATGCAGACATCTGATCAACACAGCACACTGCAGCCCAGAACTCCTGGGCTCAAGGGATCTTCCTGCCTCAGAAGCCTGAGTAGCAGGAACTACAGGCGCATGCCACCACACCTGGCTGCTACACCTGTGTTCATTGCAGCATCACAGCAGCCTTATTTACAGCAACCACAAGGTGGAAACAACCTAAAAAGTCTATTGAGGGATAGATGGATAAACAAAATGTGGTATAGACATAAAATGGAATATTAGTGATCTTTGAAAAGGGAGGAAATTCTGATACTTGCTACCACATAGATAAAACTTAAAAACATTATGCTAAGTGAGACATCAGACACAGACTACGTGATTCCATCTATATGAAGAACCTGGAACAGGCAAATTAACAGAGACAGAAAGTAGAATAGAGGTTTTCAGGGCTGGCAGGAGGTTAGTGTCTAATGGGCACAGAGTTCCTGTCTGGGATGATAGAATGTTCTGGAAATGGATAGTGGTGATGATTGCACAGCATTGTGAATGTAGCTAACGACATTGAATTCTTTACCAGAAAACAAAACAAAAACAGAAACACATTGCTTAGGCTTCCCAGTTGGACAGGTGACGTGCTTGGTGCAAGCTGGGGCCTGAGTCCAGGCTGCCCTTGCCAGAGCTGCTTCAAGATCCCTCTTGATTGTCCTTAGGCCTGATTGCTCTGGAGAGCCCCATACATGAAAGCCAGCTCTTGTTCTATCTCTTCTCACTCCAGTCCTCTCTGCCCCCACCGTCCCCCAGCTGGGCATTATGAGAAAAGCAAGATGACTATGAGTATTGTGATTATTTATATGAACAAATAATCTCAAGGACTATTGCTAACTAACCCATGGGACTCCCACTACCTTCATGAGGTTTGGACGAGGTGAAGGATCCCTAAAATCCTGCCACCTAGTCAGGAACTCAGTTGTCAATAATTTCTTTATTTGTGATACAAGCAGGGGTGGGGAAAGAGAAATGAACAGACTTGGAAGCTTCTCCGAGGCCTTAGAGAAGACCTCTGGGCTCCAAACACCAGATGCCGGGAGCAAGGAGGGTAGTTGATGACTCCCCACTCTTTCTCCAGCCCCTGCTCCTCTGTTTCTCCCCTTCACCCACTGCAGCTTCCTTAGGTCATGGGTCCTGTGCCGCCATCTCTTTGAATCACGTCCCTTCTATCCCCGTTAATAAAGGAGCATCAGCTAAGTGAACATGGTGATTCACATTCACTTACATTGATTCAGAAATTGTGTTTAGTTCCACACAAGAAAAAGAATGTGGATCTTTTTCACTGGGGAAAAAAAAAGTCGCTACGTATCATCTTAATCATGTTTTCCAGGGATATAATCAATACATGACGCCTATTTAAGCCTTCATTGCATCTGTGCACGTGGTTTGCTTTCCTCTCATGTGAAATAGCGTTGGACCACATGGGTTTGGGTCACAGCCCAGGAAGACACAATCCTGAACGTCATAATCCCAAATGTTGAAGTCCCAAAAGATCTAAATCTGTACAGTCTAAAATCCTGAAAATTACAATCCTCAAAAAACAAAATTCTGAAAATACAATTCTGGAAAAAAATTATTAACACATTCTTTAAAAAGCATTTATTGGGCAGGACGTGGTGGCTCACACCTTTAATCCCAGCACTTTTGGAGGCCAAAGCGGGTGGATCAAAAAGTCAGGAGATCGAGACCATCCTGGCCAACACGGTGAAACCCCATCTTTACTAAAAATACAAAAAATTAGCCAGGCATCGTGATGGGTGCCTGTAGTCCCAGCTACTTGGGAGGCTGAGGCAGGAGATTCACTTGAACCCAGGAGGTGGAGGTTACAGTGAGCTGAGATCGCACCACTGCACTCCAGCCTGGGTGACACAGTGAGACTCTGTCTAAAAACAACAAAAAAGCATTTATTTATATTTTTAAGATGGAATTTATTTGATAAACGTATAAAAACACAACAGAACACTTCCTAGGCTACTTTACACAATCAATAGGCAATAATAACATACATATATTTGCAAGCATAAAACTCAGGTATGCTAAAGAGCGTCTTATGGGTATAACAGTAATGAGCAGATGAGTTGTACTCGTAAAGAAATGGGTCAAAAAGCAAAATGTATAAAAGCATGGTTGGTAACTGGGTGCACTCAGCTTTATAACTTAGGTCATCTGGAATACTGTGACAGACAACCTAAGTCTTTTGACCAGATTCATCAAAAGCTGGGATGGGTCACCATCTAATATGCAGTCAAAGAGCTGAGATCTTGAGAAATTTTCTCTTTCCCAAATACAAATGTGCAAAAAGGATATCTTCTCATTTATTGAGGAAGCTTTAATGTTTTTATGTACAGGTACAATGCTTACACACAAAGTCAGTGTTGTGATAATGCACTCTTGTGGAGTCAAATTTGCAAAAATAAAAGCATAAAACAAATTAGAACTCTCTAAAAGTCTTTGCAAAATTTATACCTCCAGTATTGGAAATGATACTAAGATGAAATACATAGCATACCAAGTTGTAAAAAATGCTGACAATTTAAAATAGTGGAAAAAATGGAAAAAGAAACAACTAAAACGAAAATTGACATATAAAAAGTATATTACATGGATAGATTATGGGCAATTGCAGAGTTCATAATAGCTGGCTGACTCTCATTATCATTAACTGTATTTTGAAGTCTTTCATCATGATGCCTTTTTTGTTTTTAGGATTTGACTCTCCTCATAAAATATGTTCACATTCATTTTCTATGTGGCACTGCTCTTTTTGAAATTCTATAATTTGATACACACTGACATGAGCATTTCCTATTATATTTTCCAATCTTCTATGCCATTCTTGTCTATTGTTTTGAGTATGTGGAAATCCATTTTGCAGGCCCTCATATACAGGCCACTCATTTGGCAGAAACAATACTCTTGATTGAACAGCAACACCGTTGCCTGAATGACTTCTTATCCCACCTTGCACATCATTATTTTCAAACTAGTATGTAATTTTTCTGGCTTCTTCAGGCAATTGTGGTTTTAATTTATCAAAAGCTCCTGGAGTTTTATCAGGTGGAAGGAATGCCAATACAGACAAATGGCACATTTTAAAACTAAAATTTTCATCATTGCCATATGGCCTGGCCAATCCACTCACCTGAATTTTCTGGCAAATGAACTGGGCTGAATGGAAGATACAAACTTTACTGGTAACAACTTGCAATTCACTTTTAGAAGCCTTGATCACACCTAATTAAAAACTTGTCATTATAATTTGGGGATCTGATTGAAATCTATTTTCTTCTGCAAAGCCCTCCAAATCTTCAAATAAGCTTTTATAAAGTACTTCACTTTTTCCAGTTATTAAACCATAAACATGAAGATTAAATTATAGAATTTTGTAATTCATTGGGGGCATAAACTGTATAAAGTTGATTATAAAAACCCACTGGGGACAGTTTTGAAAGTGCCATTCATCAGCCAAAGTGAAAAATGCACCAGTTTTGTTATGTTAGACTTAGTGGTAAATAAATATGTTTATCTTTTTTGACAGTCAAATCCCTAATCAAGAATAGTTCATGATTTAATATGTCTTGTAGCACTGGAGGAAGCTCTGTGCCAGCAGGTGTCTGGTTCAGAAGGCCACTGAATTTGTTGAACTCTTTTTATTATCTGACAAAAGGCATTTTGTGAAGACAAGCATGGTGCTACGTGTAGAGGTGCTTGGTACATGATTACATAATTTGGCAGACAAGATTTTGTGCATTTTTTACTTTCATTTTCACTTCTGTGATATTCAAGACATTCAAAACATTGACAGCAGATCTTCCCCACCTAGTCCGCTCAGACCCACACACTGATCTCTTCTGAGAAAACCATCACAGACATACCCAAAATAATACTTTCCCAGCTTTCCAGGGATTCCTTAATCCAGTCAAGTTGACACCTGAAATTAAGTCTGCAAGTCCACCCCTTGTAGATTTGGCACCCATATGGACCCCCTTAAACCATACATAATTTCCAAATAAGAAGAAAACAAAGCAAGAGTTGTACCTAACATGATGCAACTAACGTGGTACAACTCTCCTGTGATTGTGATTTTCTGGATTTTAGATGTTAAGAATTTAGACTTTAGGACTGGGCATGGTAGCTCATGTCTGTATTCCCAACACTTTGGCAGGCCAAGTCAGGAGGGTCACTTGAGCCCAGGAGTTTGAAATCAGCCAGGGCAATAAAGTGAGACCCCATGATATGGTTTGGCTGTGTCCCCAACCAAATCTCATCTTGAATTGTAGTTCCCATAATCCTCACATATCATGATGGGGACCCAGTGGGAGGTAATTGAATCATGGAGGCAGTTACCCCCATGCTGTTCTCATGATAGTGAGTGAGTTCTCACAAGATCTGATGGTTTTATGAGGAGCTTTTCCCCCTTTGCTTGCACTTCTCCTTCCTGCCGCCTTGTGAAGAAGGTGACTTGCTTCTCCTTTGCATTCTGCCATGCTTGTAAGTTTCCTGAGGCCTCCCCAGCCATGATGAACTGTGAGTCAGTTAAACCTCTTTCCTTTATAAATTACCCAGCTTGGGTATGTCTTTATTAGCAGCATGAGAATGGACTGATACAGTAAATTGGCACTGAGGTAGTGGGGTGTTGCTATAAGGATACCTAAAAATGTGGAAGTGAATTTGGAACTGGGTAACAGGCAGAGTTTGAACAGTTTGGAGGGTTTGAAAGAAGACAGAAAAATGTGAGGAAGTTTGGAACTTCCTAGAGCCTTGCAGATTGGTTTTGAGGAAAATGCTGATAGTGACATGGACAATGAAGTCCAGGCTGAGGTGGTCTCATATGGAGATGAAGAACTTTTTGGGAACTGTAGTAAAGGTGACTCTTACTATGCAAAGAGACTGACGGCATTTTGCCCCTGCCCTAGAAGTCTGTGGAACTATGAACTTGAGATAGATGATTTAGGGTATCTGGCAGAAGAAATTCCTAAGTAGCAAAGTGTTCAAGAGGAAGCAGAGCATAAAGGTTTAAAAAATTTTGCAGCTTGATGATGAGACAGAAAAGGAAAACCCATTTTCTGGAGAGAAATTCAAGCCAGCTGTAGAAATTTGCATAAGTAACGAGGAGCTGAATGTTAATCACCAAGACAATGGGAAAATGTCTTCAGGGTATGTCAGAGACCTTCACAGTAGCTCAAGGCATCACAGGACAGGAGGCCTAGGAGGAAAAAATGGTTTCATGGGCCCGGTGCAGGGCCTTGCTGCTCTGTGCAGTCTCAGGACTTGGTGCCGTGTGTCCCAATCATGGCTAAAGGGCCAATGTACAACTCAGGCCATGGCTTCAGAGGGTACAAGCCCCAAGCCTTGGCAGCTTACACGAGGTGTTGGGCCTGTGGGTGCACAGAAGTCAAGAATTGAGGTTTGAGAATCTACGCCTAAATTTCAGAGGATGCATGGAAATGCCTGGGTGTTCAGGCACAAATTTGTGACGGGGACAGAGCCCTCATGGGGAACCTCTGCTAGGGCAATGTGTGCAGAAGGGAAATGTGGGCCCCCACACCATCCCCACTGGGGCACTGCCTAGTGGAGCTGAGAGAAGACGGCCACCATCCTCCAGACTCCAGAATGGTTGATCCACTGACAGCTTGCACCGTATGCCTGGAAAAGCCACAGACACTCAGCACCAGCCTGTGAAAGCAGCCAGGAGAAGGGCTGTACCCTGCAAATCAACAGGCACCCCTGTTGCCCAAGGCCATGAGAGCCCAACTCTTGCTTCGGCGTGACCTGGATGTGAGACATGAAGTCAAAGGAAATCATTTCAGAGCTTCAAGATTTGACTGACCCATTGAATTTTGGACTTGCATGGGGCCTGCAGTCCCTTCATTTTGGGCCAATTTCTCCCATCTGGAACAGGTGTATTTACCCAATGCCTATACCCTCATTGTATCTATGAAGTAACTAACTTGATTTTGATTTTACAGGCTCATAGGCAGAAGGGCCTTGCCTTGTCTAAGATAAGAATTTGGACTTGGACATTTGGGTTAATGCTGGAATGAGCTAAGACTTTGGGGGACTGTTAGAAAGGCATGATCATGTTTTAAAATGTAAGGACATGAGATTTGGAAGGGGCTGGGGGCAGAATGATATGGTTTGGCTGTGTTGCCAACCAAATCTCACCTTGAATTTTAGTTTCCATAATCCCTACATGTTGTGGGAGGAACCCAGTCGGAGGTAATTGAATCAGGGGGGTGGTTACCCCCATGCTGTTCTCATGACAGTGAGCAATACCTGAAGGTTTTACAAGGGGCTTTTCCCCTTTTGCTCAGCACCTCCTGCTGCCTTGTGAAAAAGTGCCTTGCTTCTTGTTTGCATTCACCATGATTGTAAGTTTTCTGAAGCCTTCCCAGCCATGCCAAACTGTGAGTCAATTAAACCTCTTTCTTTTATAAATTACCCAGGCTCATGTATGTCTTTATTGGGAGCACAAGAATGAACTAATTCACTCCATCTCTACTAAAAAGAAATGAATTTAGACCTTAGGAATTTTGATCTTTCAGGATTTCAACATTCAGGGTTATGGTGTTTGTGACTGGGTCTTCTGGGATTATGATCCTCACCTGGACTAAACAGCCTTGCAGCTCTCTTCAAACTATGATCCTATTCTCCCACTGCCTCCTGAGTTCAGCCTCTTTCTTCAACTTGGCTAAGCCTGCCTTTCCTTTCCTATCTGTCTGCTTTCTTCCCTCTGATTAATCCAAAGTAAAATTTGACTTTTTTTTTCACTCCAACAACTCCAGCTTCTATCACATATCTCCTTTCATGAAGCTGGCCCCTGATAATGTTTCCGTTGACAACAGTATAATATAGACAAGATTGCATATAGTTAAAGTACGTATTTTATTTATTTGGTGGCAGCATTCTGATAAGGAATTAAAACTATTTCTTTTAAAATCATAATTTAATCACCAGGCAGAGCAAGTAAAGAGAAATACATTCCAGAATCTCACATCTGTCAAAAGTAAATGCTGATTTTTATTGAGGACTTCCTTATTTCTGTTGCTAGTTGACTCTCATACAGCTTGTCCCCAACAGAATCTAGTGTGGAATTGGCAAATGGGATGTCATACATGCAGTGCTCTACTGGAGCTGATAATTAAGTACCCAGGAATTTTATGAAGTGTTTGTCAAACCATCAGTAGAAATATTTACACAATGGAAATCAGCAAATGCTACAAATCTGGGCTTCTCCCCACCCAACCAATAAGTTTACTAGCATACCACTTTTATTCGTCTTGTAAACATTCAGAATTTCTATAAATATTCATAGACTCTCCTATACTGAGTGTCTCAGAATAACTTGAAGTTCTTACAGTAGCCAGTGAGGCTGAGTGTGAGTTGACCCACCCCAGTCCCTCTCTCTGACTTGTCTCCTGTTAGCCTTCTGACTCCCAGTGTTCTCTACTTCATGCACCTGGGCTAGGTGTGCACCCTGCTGTTTGCCTGCCTTTTCTTCCTCGAGTGCTCTTCCCCAGATATCTGCATAGCTGGTGCCCTCGCCTCCTTGGAATCTTTGTTCAAATGTTGTCTTCTCAGTGAGACCTTCTATATGTTTTCTATGACTGCAGGAATAAATTAACACACCTCTAGTAGGCTAAGAGAACACACACTCTCTCTAGGGGAGAGAGACCACTTTCTTACCTTCTGCAGCTTTGAGAGGATGCCTGCATCCCTTGGCTCCTGGCCCCCTTCCAGGCAGCCACCACGTCATTCTGACCCTAGCTGTCACGCCTCTTGCCTCGGACTCTCCTGCCTCCCTCTTTTGCTTTTAAGTACTCTTGTGATGACATTGAGCCAACCTGGGTAATCCAGAATAATCTCCTCATCTCATGATCCATAACTTCATCACATCCACAAGTCCTTTTTGCCATATAGGGATATGGACATGTAGAAAGGCCATTCTTCTGCCTATTACTCCCTCCTTGAGCATTCTAACTACCTTCACATCTACCCACTCCCAGCATTCCTGAGCTCCCTTCCATGCTTAATTTTTCTCTGTACCACTTATTACCTTCTGGCATATTCTATATTTTACATATTTATTTTATTAATGATCTGTCTTTTCTCACTGGAATGTAATTTGCCTGAGGGTAAATATTTTTGTTTTATATCATTGCCATATTTTCATTATGTAGAACAGTGCCTTGCTCTTAGCAAGGATTCAAGAAATATATATGTTTTGGCTGAATAAATTAGGTTGAGAAGTTTGGGGGAAAATCCTGGCACGATACAGAAGACAGTTCCCAGTGATGGGAAAGGGCCATGTGGTGGGGCCTCTACAGGAAGCCGGGATGCTCCAGAGGCCCCCCAAGGCAGAGATGCTTTGCTCACATTTAACTCTTTGCCCAAGCTCTGATTTCTAATGTTTTCTTTCATATTTGTTTTTGCTCTGCCTTTTTTTTAATTAATTTTTTTTATAGAGATGAGGTTTTACTATATTTCTCAGGCTGGTATCAAACTCATGAGCTCAAGCAATTTTCCCACCTTGGCCTCCCAAAGCGTTATTACTACAGGTGCAAGCCACCATGCCCGGCCTGCTTTTCTCTTTCTTTGAAATATACTCACAATGTTTATATTGGTTTCTAACTACAGATCATGAACTCCTGAAGCAAAGTAACCACTTTGTTCTTCGTTATTTCTTTCACTCTTCTACTCTGCACGGTGCCAGATATTGGATATGTAGGTGCCAAACATTTGCTTTTCTAATTTCTTACATTTTATTTCTTAAAGATCAGCCTAACCATGTTGTAAGAGGGATGATTTCCTTCCTTTGTTTTGAAAATTTGTGCATGCCCAATGCTTACATTGAGCAGTTCAATGTCACTACAGCTTTTTTTTTTTTTCTATTTTTGCCAGACTTTCAAAACTCTTAAAACTCGTTTGTGGTCAGCACAACAAGGAACACACTTTAGCTTTGAAAAAAACTTTAACATGAAAAAATGCACTGACATTGTTTTTAATGTAACATAGGCTAGAATTTACCTATGTTTGCACATGCTGAGAATTGTCCCACCAGGCTGACGTGTTCACCTCTTCAGCTTGGATCCTGTTGTGGATTTTTTTACAAACATCAATTGCCTTCAAGCCATCCTTTCTGCTGTATGTTTTGCAGCCTTCTATAGTAGATACGCAACAGATAATGTGGAGAAAAAAGACACAAGAGGAGGAAGGTAATGAGAGACTTTGTCAAGGTTGTAACCTTCTTGGTTTCTTTGAAGAATTTGTTGCCTTTCTACTATGACAGCAAAGCAGCATTTTGTTACTGACCACCTAAAACCACTTAATCTCAGGTGAATGCATCACTTGCTATTGGAACGCTATTTGTGTTTTGTTGCACAATTTTTTGGTTGTTTATTTGGTTGGCTTTTTGGAAGGTAAATTTGGAAAGGGGACCTACACAGAAGTGCTGACCCACCCACATTCCCTTATTATCATTACAGACAAGAAGAAACTAGCAGAGCTAAGAATGGAGTGAAGAAAGGCAGTGTGATAAGCACCAGCAAAGAGTTGAGGGCTGTTGCTCTCTAAAATTATTATTTGATTATTTTAAAAATATGGACGTTTTCTAGTCACTGAAGAAAGGAGGGGAAAGTGCACTTATTTTTATATAGAGTTACTTAACTACCTCCTAAACACATACATGAAAATTGTTTTTGCTGGTGCAAAGTATTTTAATTAGCAAGAATTCATATATTGAGATTATAATTAGAGAGCTCAATTTATATATTTGCTATCCTGCTCAAGCCTGACATGGCAAAAAAAAAAAAAAAAACCATATAGCTTCAAAATAACAAATACTGGAAAGTTTGCTGTGATAACTATTTTGTACTTTTGTACAAAAAACCTAAAGAACAAATTACCTAAAGAACAATTTGCTAAACATGAGAAATCGCTCCCTTTGAGTATATACAGGTAAGATAGGAAGAGCTATCAGACCAGTAAATTATAGTTTATATTGAAGATAATATTCAATTGACTCATAACAAATAACGAGCATTCATGATAACATTTCAGCATTTCCAAGGTGCCAAGTGTACTGATTTTTTAAAATATATTTTAGAAGGAATTTAGATCTGGTGTTTTTAATGAAAACCAGCATCTCTGATGTTGCAATATGTATGTGAAATGGGTGTTACATCTATCCTGCCCTTTAACCCCACCGTTAACAAAGTGGCTGAAAATAACAGTAAGAAAAAATCAGTCTAAGGGAGAAAAGGACTAATGCTCTCAATTCTCTCTCTCTCTCTCTGTGTGTGTGTGTGTGTGTGTGTGTGCATGTGTGTGTGTGTGTGTTAAGGAGGATGGCAGGAGGCAGTCTTAACTCTTGAAAGAAACCTTCTTTGTATAGGAAGCATATTTTGGTTTAGGTACAATGATAAGAAAGTTTAATTATACAGTCCATAAGACCAGATACCTTCAGATTTTTCCCTGCGGGGATTTCTATGACTGGTATTCTGACTAGTGTGAAATGATAGGTTTGTATGTCTATATCTACACCCATCAAAGCCTCAGAGCTTCCTGCACTGCTATAACTTTTCTGTTAACTCTGGGTAAATTAGGAGGCTGGTACAAGGAATAATTTTAACTTCAGATTTTACAGTTTGTTTATGTTAAGGGCAGAAAGATCTACTTTTCAATGGTCTGTATTTTAAGATAGATATTGACTTTTCCTGGTGCTATTTTATGATTATGGAGAAAATAGAATTCTTATTAGAAATCTCAACTCCGAATTGAGAATAGATGTTTTGATACTTGTCCTGCTGTGGCCTGAGACTTGGAATCATGAAATAAAAGAGATCTTGCTGTTTATCTACAGATTAGAACACACAAATAAACAACAGTGTAACATCCTCATTAGCATTCTGGTAGTTACATTTACTTATTCCAGAGCAAAATTAATATATGATAAGAAGTAGAATATTTTCTGTGGATATCTAGGGTATTATGACAACAACCTTCCTTAGAAAAGAAACAGTGTGTTATGAGGACAGTGGATGCTACAACATTACTTGCCTTCAAGGCATTGCAAACAACTGGAATCAATTGAATAACCTTCTCAAGCACAAGCCAACAGTGAAATGAAAGTCATTTATCTGAAACAGCAGGCAAGAGCTTCATTGGTACACTTGGAAGGTGGCTCACTAACCCTGCCGAAGCTTTGCTCCATCTGATCAGGGCATAAATGTTTCATTGGCCCAATAACCAAGGTGTTTGGGTTTCACAGTGTTTTCTCTCCGACAGCTAATACGGGGAGCATTGCTGACATTCTGCCATGGTTGCCCAGGCTGAAATCAAACGTGCTTCGAATAATACTATAAACACTTTGAAATGAATCTTTGCCGTAGGAACCAATGTTCAACTGTGGGCTCTATTCAAAGACACTTAAGGTGGGAGGGAGCAAACTTTTCAAGTTGGTTTTAGGTAACAGAAACAGACGTCTTTATTGGATTTGCCTGGAAAAAAAGTAAGGAAAATCCCACCATTGTCTGTTCTGGGTCAAGAAGTATAAGGCTCAGTCCCGTTTTATTTCTCTCCTTCTCCTTTGGATCCTTTTTCTTATTCTTGACTCTATACATGGAGAAAAAGTTCAAGTGCCTCTAAAGCAGTAATGCTGGGAACTTGCCAACTTATTCCCATGATGCTACTGTTGCTTATAAAGCATTTTGAGGACTCTTGTATTCAGAGCTAGTGATAAGCTGTAAGAGGAAGTCAGTCTTGGTGTACAGCTGCGTTTTGGGCTCATGTATAGAAGAGCTAACATGGATTTCAGAGTCTCCCAGGTGTTTAAAATCCAAGCTCTGCTCTCAGGACCTGCGAAGGCTTAGATAAGTTGCTCAATCTCTTTGAGCCTCAGTTTTCTGAGTACAATGGCACATACCTTACAGGACTGTGGTGTGGATGAATTGCGATGATGTGTATGAATCCAGCTCAGAGTCTTCTTTCCTTCCTTCTTTCTTCCCTGCCACTGAATTTCCACCAAGCTATACTTCTCAGGTCTGACTCCTGAGAGGCTAGACACACAGTGAAGCTTGATGCTTGCTAGAAACTGAGGGGCTAGGCTTGAGTGTTAGGGAACCTGGGAATGACATCGGTCATCCATCCGGGAAGGCCGAGGAGGAAAGCGAGGCAGGGCAGCAGAGTGGGAAGTGGTAACCATGGAGGCCACCTTTGGGCTGGAGCCTGCTCAAGGCACTTTAGTGCTGAGCCATTTGGGGCCCAAGGTAGGGGCAGACAGCAGAGAAGGACGGCAGTTATCGCCTAGTCACAGGGGCAGATGGAAGAGAAGGATGGCAGTTATCGCCTAGTCACAGGGGCAGATATTAGAGAAGGACGGCAGTTATCGCCTAGTCACAGGGGCAGATGGAAGAGAAGGACGGCAGTTATCGCCTAGTCACAGGGGCAGATGGAAGAGAAGGACGGCAGTTATCGCCTAGTCACAGGGGCAGATATTAGAGAAGGACGGCAGTTATCGCCTGGTCACAGGGGCAGATATTAGAGAAGGACGGCAGTTACCGCCTAGTCACAGGGGCAGATAGAAGAGAAGGACGGCAGTTATCGCCTAGTCAGGAGTTTAACAATCTCTATTTCCTTTCAAACCTCGTTTCATCCCTTCCTTCCCAGTGAAATTCACAGGCAATTAAACTTCCTCCTGCATCTCGGAGCAGGCCCCTGCATCATCATTTCTCCTCTGCAAGTGTATCTTCTTCGGGCACGTGGGAAGGTCTTAGTTCACCTGGGTATTTAGGGACTTGATCCTCTTTCCTCTTTATTGTCAATGTTGTGGCTTGCCGAGGTCATGACAGAGTCTGGTTATGACATGTTAGCAATCGTCACCTCCCATTTTTGAGTAAATATACTTTTATGCAGTTTGAGCTCCCATTCGTGTCATTTATTAATTTGTTCATTTGTTAACACATTCATTTGTGGAGCATTTGGCCTAGAAAAGAGAAGAAACCCTTCCTTAGCAGTAAGGGAGAAGAGAAAACAAAACGCACAGAGATACATGCTTGGTTTTGTATAACTTTTGACAGTTTCTAAAATAAAATAAGGTCTAACTTGGAAAACCAAAACCTATCACTGAGATATTTTCATAATCTAAAAAGTCAGTTTCAAAAGAACTTCCAAAATGTTTTAAAAAATGACTATCCTTTAGAACAATGATGTAGCATTCCAAGGTTTTAGTGTTCAACCAGCATTTATTACCGCCTGCTGGGTGCCTGAGGCAGGACAATTGTAATGAGAGCCACAAACATGATTTGAAAAACCGCTGCCCATAGGTCCACAGTTCCTGTCAAAGCATAGAGCCCCCTGTAGACAGAGCCCCCTGTATAAGGTGCCCTGTGTTCTGGGTGAGAGACTACGCTTGGTCCGCAGGTATATCTGGTGGGCAGAACAGGAAAGGTGTCACTGAGGAGGTGCTATGTGAGTTAGTTGTGAAAAATGAGTACGGGTTTATGAGGCAGATATGAGAGGCACTTTGTTGAAGTTACAACTCCTACCAGGCGCTCGTTTGAATTTTCTGTGTCATTTGCTCTTTGGAGGTTGCTTGTTGGTACACTTACATTTTCTATGCCCAGCTAAAAAGAGAGGAGTGAGTGTGTGTGTGTGTGTTTGTGTGTGTGTGTTTGGTATTTTTCTCAGAGTTTCTTTGTGTTTCCAAGCTTACTTTAGAGCTGAAGCTTGTCAGAGTTTTCATAACAAACGCGTGATTGAACTAAATTCCAACCGGCCGCCTCTGGCGTTGGAGCCTTACGGCACCTCAGTGCATTGAAGGGGTGTGCTCTACCCTCTACCTTCGTGATTTATTTAAAGACCAAATCGTAATGAATAACAATTCTTAGGTTTAAACCTATAGCAGGGGTAGGAAATAGTTCAAACCTTCTGACTTACATGAACAAATGCAATCTTCAAAAACTGTTTTCTAATCTGCGTGAATGTACTGAACTCGTTGCCGCCTTCATTTAAATGTGATGTATCAAAAGTGCTTTGTAAACTGTTAAATTCCAACGTTGATATTGTCATAGATATACTTTATTAAATACTGGATAATGATTTCATAAAGTACAGGGTTTTTAACTGTGAAATTATTCTGAAATATGTAGAAAAAATTTGAAATACTCTTCCCATTTTGAACACAATGATTGTTTTTAAAATTCCCTTGATTTATATGTTTGTATACTGTGGATTCTCAACTGAGTGAATTACTGTCTTTGCAATGTAGTAAGATTTTGATATCGTTTTTAATCTATCAAGGAAAGGGCTAGATAAGTAGCATCTCATTTGTCTCACATCCCATTATTTGAAAGATGATTTCAGACCATAGGAAATACTGACTCTCCTTTTCCTTTTTTTTTCAGGATACATTATAGCCACTTATTTGCCCATCTTTGCCTCAGTGGATTTTAAGGAGAGGCCCCAAGGCTTATACATGTTTAGACCCCAATCCCTGGAGTAATCACTTAGTATTTTTTTAATGAGCAAATAAACAAATTAATAAATAAAAGAATAAATGGGTGAATGTATGTGGATATACCTCCAAACATCCACATGTATGTCATGTATGTAAATTATATACTAAGAAAATCTCAAAATTGAATTATATAAATTTTAATGGACAGTTTGACTTTAGTCTTATTATTTTCTTTTTTTTATTATTATTATACTTTAAGTTTTAGGGTACATGTGCACAACGTGCAGGTTTGTTACATATGTATACATGTGCCATGTTGGTGTGCTGCACCCATTAACTGGTCATTTAGCATTAGGTATATCTCCTAATGCTATCCTCCCCCCTCCCCCCACCCCACAACAGTCCCCGGAGTGTGATGTTCCCTTTCCTGTGTCCATGTGTTCTCATTGTTCAATTCCCACCTATGAGTGAGAACATGCAGTGTTTGGTTTTTTGTCCTTGTGATAGTTTGCTGAGAATGATAGTTTCCAGCTTCATCCATGTCCCTACAAAGGACATCAACTCATCCTTTTTTATGGCTGCATAGTATTTCATGGTGTATATGTGCCACATTTTCTTAATCCAGTCTATCATTGTTGGACATTTGGGTTGGTTCCAGGTCTTTGCTATTGTGAATAGTGCCGCAATAAACATACGTGTGCATGTGTCTTTATAGCAGCATGATTTATAATCCTTTGGGTATATACCCAGTAATGGGATGGCTGAGTAAAATGGTATTTCTAGTTCTAGATCCCTTAGGAATTGCCACACTGACTTCCACAATGGTTGAACTAGTTTACAGTCCCACCAACAGTGTAAAAGTGTTCCTCTTTCTCCACATCCTCTCCAGCACCTGTTGTTTCCTGACTTTTTAATGATCACCATTCTAACTGGTGTGAGATGGTATCTCACTGTGGTTTTGATTTGCATTTCTCTGATGGCCAGTGATGATGAGGATTTTTTCATGTGTTTTTTGGCTGCATAAATGTCTTCTTTTCAGAAGTATCTGTTCATATCCTTTGCCCACTTTTTGATGGGGTTGTTTGTTTTTTTCTTGTAAATTTGTTTGAGTTCATTGTAGATTCTGGATATTAGCCCTTTGTCAGATGAGTAGGTTGCAAAAATTTTCTCCCATTCTGTAGGTTGCCTGTTCACTCTGATGGTGGTTTCTTTTGCTGTGCAGAAGCTCTTTAGTTTAATTAGATCCCATTTGTCAATTTTGTCTTTTCTTGCCATTGCTTTTGGTGTTTTAGACATGAAGTCCTTGTCCATGCCTATGTCCTGAATGGTATTGCCTAGGTTTTCTTCTAGGGTTTTTATGGTTTTAGGTCTAACATGTAAGTCTTTAATCCATCTTGAATTAATTTTTGTGTAAGGTGTAAGGAAGGGATCCAGTTTCAGCTTTCTACATATGGCTAGCCAGTTTTCCCAGCACCATTTATTAAATAGGGAATCCTTTCCCCATTTCTTGTTTTTGTCAGTTTGTGAAAGATCAGATAGTTGTAGATATGCGGCATTATTTCTGAGGGCTCTGTTCTGTTCCATTGGTCTATATCTCTGTTTTGGTACCAGTACCATGCTGTTTTGCTTACTGTAGCCTTGTAGTATAGTTTGACGTCAGGTAGCATGATGCCTCCAGCTTTGTTCTTTTGGCTTAGGATTGACTTGGCAATGCGGGCTCTTTTTTGGTTCCATATGAACTTTAAAGTAGTTTTTTCCAATTCTGTGAAGAAAATCATTGGTAGCTTGATGGGGATGGCATTGAATCTATAATTTACCTTGGGTAGTGTGGCCATTTTCACGATATTGATTCTTCCTACCCATGCTGACTCACCTTTTCTAAAAAGACAACTGATTTTCTTATGCTTTTAAGTTCAAATGTATCTTGTCTCCTTTTGATTAATTAAAACAACACGTTATCAAAAACTTTAACAGAAAATATTCTTATTATTTATTGAATCAGAAGAGAAACAGGAAATACTGTGCTTTCTTGGGCCTGTTTCCTATACCCCAACATCATAAGAATTGTTGTTGCTTCTATAATGTTCAGCTTCAAATTATTTTGCTTGATCAATCAAAATGAATTACCTGAATTTTCTCCTCCGTTCAAAAAGGAACTGCATTCACCTACCTACCCCCAGCCCTAGGACTGTTTCTTTTATTCCAATAGTTTGTGATATCCTTGACTTCACAGCAGAAAGCTGTGAGTCTCCCAAACCCCTTCAGTCAGGTCCCGTGGAGGCTGCCTTCTAAAGTCTCTTCGGTCTTCTTTCTTTGAATGTTCATGGCCACCTTGTTGGTTAGACTCTTATCCCTGACTGTAAGAGATCCCTCAGGTCTTCCTGCCTGTGGCCATGCCTAATTTGTAACCTTCCTAAAATGTGATGTGATCATGTCACTGCCTTGCTTAGAAGCCCTGCACTGGCTTCCAACACATGCAGAATCAAGTGCTTGCTGTTTAACATGGTCTACCCAGTCCTCCAGATTCTGGCTTCCAGTTATTTTCTCAGCCTCAAAAAAGCACCTCACTCTCAAACATATCAAATAGCTTGAGCCCTCCTGCCTCCTGTTCATACCACCATTCCTTCCCCTCTACCTGGATGCTCCTCCCTTCAGCCGCCCCTCCAGCTGTAAGCTCCCATGGATTGACTGGTTCTTGAGTGTTTTATTGCACTTTGGACCTCCCGTCTCTCACTCCTGGCTTCTGTCTGTCTACTTGTCTTGACCCGCCACTTGCACTGCCTCTGGCTTATCTGCCTAATTCTGGTTGACAGTGTTATTTGTTAGCTTCATATCTACTGGCTCTCTCAATTATTTCTCAGCCTCCCCACACCAGGCTCCTTGCCCTGTATTTATAAGCTGCTATTGGCTTGAGGGTGACTGTGACTTTCTAATAAAACTATTTTATAGACTGATAGTTACAAGGGTATAGTAGAAAAGAAATGAATCTACCTTTGAGTGTATTTCAACATATCTAGTGATCCATAAATATTTTCTTCTTATTATTATCATTATTGTTATTTTTAAATAGACAATCAGGGAAGGCAGAGTCTAGGCCACCAATCTGAACTTAGGCATTCATCTTTATTAAGATATTTGGGATCTCTGCAAGTATTCTGAATTTTAAATGGCATTCAGTGATTCGATAAAATAGGAATTTTGTTTTACTCTGAACTGAGTAGAGTTTCAGCAACTGGCTGGCTACTGTGTCATTATTTCTATAAGTTCAAAATGTAAAAGGAACATTTACCTTTTAACAAGGGAGTATCCCGGGTCTCAGTTCTCAACCGTTTTTCTAGGTGCACTCATGCCTCTGTGATCTCATGAAGCCCAATGGCATTAAATTCCATGTGTGTGTGCACGGTCCATGAATACATATTTCCAGCTCCTACCTCTCCTCTAAAATTTAGACTCATATCTAATTATCTGCCAGTTATCACCACTTGGAAGACTAATAGACAACTATCACACATCCATAAGGGAATTCTTGATCCTCCACCTTCAACCCCTGGGCCCAACACTCCTCAGTCTTCTCCGTCTCAGTAAATAGCACCTCCAGCATACCAGCCGTTAGGCCAGAAAACTTGCCCTGACCCTTCTTTGTTTCTTGCACTTCATATCAGCATACACTGTTGAACTGTATTCAGAATCTGAGCTTCCCTTGCCACACCCATTGTGTACACCCTGCTTCACTTTACGTCATTGCTTTCATGGATTATCAAAATAGCCTCCTAACTCCTCTCCCACTTTCTCTTTCTCCCTGCACTTTGTTCTTCACTGAGCAACCAGAGTAAGTATTTATTTTTGTTTTTTGAGACAGAGTCTCCTCTGTCACCCAGGCTGGAGTGCAGTGGTGCAATCTGGGCTCACTACAACCTCTACCTCCTGGGTTCAAGCGATTCTCCTGCCTCAGCCTCCCAAGTAGCTGGGACTACAGGCATGCATCACCAAGCCTGGCTAATTTTTGTATTTTTAATAGAGACGGGGTTTTGCCATGTTGGCCAGGCTGGTCTCGAACCCCTGACCTCAGGTGATCCAGAGTAAGTCTTTTTAAAGCATAAGGCAAATAATATTTTCATCTGCTTAAAACCTTCCATGGCTAGGAATGTCTTAAACCATCTTGTCCCCTGACACTTCTCTGATCTCTAGTCCCATCAGTCTCCCCTCTATTATTGCAATCTTCAAAGACACCAGGCAGATGTGCTTCTGCCTCAGGGCCTTTGCATGTGTGGTCCCCTTTGCCTGGAATGCTTTCTCATCAGGAATCAGCATGGCTTACTTCCTCTCTTATCCAGGCCTTTGCTTAATTATTAATTATTACTCTGTCATAAGAAGAATCTTTTCTGACCATTTCACTTAAAATGGCACCTTCTTACTCTCTATTCTCTTATTTTACTTTATTCTTCTTTAAAGCACTTCTTATCATCTGACCTATCTTGTATACACATTTTCAAATTTCTTCACTGGTTGCTCCCACTTTGCCCTATGCAAGCTCCATGAGAGCAGAGACTGTTTTGTTAATTGCTGAATCTCTATCTCTTAAAATAGTTCTTGGCATAAGTAGGCATGCAGGTTAGTATTGCATGCATGAATGAGGACAATAACAGGCCCAAATTCTTCTGGAAAGTTTTTCCTCAGTCTTGAGGCTAGTTTACTCTCATCAGGTTTCTGGGTTTCTTGACCATTAACGACTCACTGTATCTCTGTCCTATTTACAGACACACGTTGGAAATATTGTGAGTTCGGTTCCAGACTACACTGCAATAAAGTGAGCCACACATATTTTTTGGTTTTGCAATGCATGAAAGTCATGTGAACACTATATTGTAGTCTATTAAGAGTACAATTTCAATATGTCTGAAAATACCAATGTACATGCCTTAATTTAAAATAATTTATTGATAAAAATGCTATTGATCATCTGAGCCTTCAGCAAGTTGTAATCTTTTTGATGATGGGGGTCCTGCCTCTATGTTGATTGCTGCCAACAGATCAGGGTGGTGGGCACTGAAGGTTGGAGTGCCTGTGACAATTTCTTTTTTTTTTTTTTTTTGAGATGGAGTCTCAGTCTGTTTCCCAGGCTGGAGTGCAGTGGCAGGATCTCGGCTCACTGAAACCTCTGCCTCCAGGGTTCAAGTGATTTCTCTTGCCTCAGCCTTCCAAGTAGCTGGGATTATAGGCACCCAACACCATGCCTGGCTAATTTTTGTATTTCTAGTAGAGACGGGGTTTCACCATGTCAGCCAGGTTGGTCTCAAACTCCTGACCTCAGGTGATCCACCAGCCTCAGCCTCCTAAAGTTGTGGAATTACAGGCATCAGAAATGGCGCCTGGCCAGCAATTTCTTAAAATAAGACGACAGTGAAGTGTGCTACATCAATTGACCCTTCCTTTGATGAAAAATTTCTCTGTGGCATGTGATGCTGTTTAATAGCATTTTACCCACAGTGAAACTTCTTTCAGAATTAGAGTCCATCCTCTCAAAGCCTGCTGCTTCTTGATCAACTAAGTTTATTGAATATTCCAAGTCCTTTATTGCTGTTTCAACAATGTTCATAGTATCTTCACCAGGAGGAGATTTCATCCCTCCCAAAAAAAAAACACCACTTTTCTTTTTGCTCATCCATAAAAAGCAAGTCCTCATTTCATCAAGTTTGATCATGAGATGCAGGAATTCAGTCACATCTTCAGGCTCCACTTCTAATTCTAGTTCTTTTGCTCTTGCTCTTTCTACCACATCTGCAGTTATTTCTTCCACTGAAGTCTTGAATTCCTTAAAGTTATCCATGACAATTTTAATCAACTTCTTACAAACTCCTGTCAATGTTGATATTTTGCCCCCCTCCCATGAATCATGAATGTTCTCAATGGCATCTAGAATGGTGAATACCTTCCATAAGGTTTTTAGTTTACTTTGCCCAAATCCATCAGAGGAATTATATGACAGCGATAACCCTATGAAATGTATTTCTTAAAGAATAAGACTTGGAAGTTGAAATTACTCCTTCATCCCTGAGCTTCAGAATGATCTTGTATTAGCAGGCATGGAAACAAAGTTGATTTCCTTGTATATCCCCATCAGAGCTCTTAGGTGTCATGGAGTACTAATATTTTGAAAGAAAACTTTTTCTCTGAGCAGTAGGTATCAACAGTGAGCTTAAAATATTGAGTAAACCATAGTATAAATAGACGTGCTGTCATTCAGGCTTTGTTGTTCCATTTGTAGAGCACAGGCAGAGTAGGTTTAGCGTAAGTTTTAAGGGCCCTGGAATTTTCAGAATGGTAAGGGCACATTGGCTTTAACTGAAAGTTGCCAGATGCATTAACCCGTCATGAGACTCAGCCTGTCCTTTGAAATTTTGAAGCCAGGCATTGACTTCTTCTCTCTAACTGTGAAAGTCCTAGATGACATGTACCTCCAGTAGAGAAGGCTGTTTTATCTACACTGAAAGTCTATTGTGTAGTGTGGCTACCTTCATCAGTGATCTCAGCTAGATCTTCTGGGTAACTTGCTGCAGCTTCTCCATCACACTTCTTGCTTCACCTTGCACTGTTATGCTATGAAGAGCACTTCTTTCCTTAAACCTCATGAACCAATCTCTGCTAGCTTCAAACTTTTCTTCTGCAGCGTCCACACTTCTCTCAGCCTTTAAGGAACCGAAGAGAGTCAGGGCCTTCCTCTGAATTAGGATTTGGCATAAAGGAATGTTCTGGCTGGTTGGGCCTTCTATCCAGACCATTAAACTCCACATACCAACAGTAATGCTGTTTCACTTTCTTAGCATGGTGTGCTCACTGGATTAACATCCTTCAAGAACTTTGCCTTTGCATTCACAGTTTGGCTGTTTCATCCAAGAGGCCTAGCTTTCAGCCCGTCTCATGTTTTGACATGCCTTCCTCACTAAGCTTAATCATTTCTAGCGTTAGATTTTAAGTGAGAAATGCATGAGACTCTTCCTTTTACACGAACAGTTATAGGCCACTGTAGGATTATTATTTGGCTTGTAGGATTATTAATTGGCCTAATTTTCATATTGTTGAGTCTCAGAAAATAGGGAGGCCCAAGGAGAGGAAGAGAGATGGGAAAACAGCGGGTTGGTGAGGCAGTCAGAGTCCATACAGTATGTATCAATTAAGTATGCCATCGTACATGGTTGCAGCTCATGGTGCCCCAGAACATAGCAGTAACGTCAAAGGTCACTGATCACGGAGCACCATAACAAGTATACTAATACATTTTGAAATATTGCTAGAATTACCAAAATGTGACACAGACACAAAGTGAGGCTATGGCATTTGAAAATGGCACCAAAGCTTCTGGTTAGCTGAACACGTGGAGGTTCGTAGAGGAGGGTAGTGTCCAGGGAGGTGAGGAAGTGCCATGCCACATCCCCCATACCGTGCCTTATGTGTCTTTTCACCTGTATCTGTTGTAGCATCTTTTGTGATAAGCTGGTAAACGTGTTTCTCTGAGTTCTATGAGCTGTTCCAGCAAATTAATCAAACTCAATGCGGGGATCATGGGAACTTCAACCTGAAGCCAGTCAGTCAGATGTTCTGGAAGCCCAGACTTGCAACTCGTGTCTGGGAGTCTGGGGAGAATCTTGGGTACTGAGCCCCCAATCTATGGGACCTGATGCTATCTCAGGGTAGACAGTGTCAGAACTGAATTCGAGGACACCAAACTTGTGTCTGCGCTTGATGCATGGGGAAAAGACCCCCATACATTTGGTCATAGAAGTCTTCTTCTGTGCTGATGATTTTTGTGGTGTGAGAGTAGAGGGAAAAAAAACAAGGTTTGAGAGAGTTTTTCCCTACATAATTGTCAGTGAAGTGGGATTTGCTTAAATGGCCCTGACTGATGGAAGCATGTGCTTTGAAAAGAGAAAGGATTAAAGGGTGGGAGGATGAAGAATCTTCGATTCCCAGGTGGCCACGTGGTCACTCATGGTATGAAGCTGCAGCTATGTTGAGATCAGTTACTAAAGGTAAAAGTTATCAGCCGAATTTAGAGATGGATCCAACCTCCCAGGAATTAGTTCACTGGATGCATAAGGAAATGCAAACTAACAAGAAAAAAGCAAAAGATTCAGTCCCTTGGTTATTGTTATCTATAATGGCTAAAATGAAAGTTAAAGACGGTGCTGGGTAAGGCCTTGAGGCTGGAATAAACTCAGATGTGGGTCTGTCTCAACTCAGGCCACCAGCCTCAAAGCCACCCAGAAAGGGGAACATTAAGCCTGGACACCAGAAAGTACCTTCAGAACTGTGGTCACCAAGAAGGCAGTGAATGTGGGAGAAGGGAAAATCCAACTACTGTTGAAACCAGAGGGTGTCCTGTGAAGGAACTGCTCCATTTTGAACATTGATATCATTAACTTCTCGAGGAACTTTTACTAAAACAGATCGAGAGTGACTAATTTAGGAGCAGCGTCTCTGGTTTTAAATGCTGCAGAGTGGAAGAGTTGTTTGGGCTGGTGCAGGACCCACACTCACTATTGAACAACCACAGATGGGTATATGTGATCCAGACACACAGGAGGTTATTCATGCAGGAACAGCCAGACGAGTGGACTAGAGAAAAGCCACAGGAAGGTCTGTTTTCCGTGATAAGCAGATGGTCCAACTCCACCTATAAATGCCAAGCAGAGCACCCTAGATGACCCAGCTGATATGCTTTGTATGTTGGGGCACCCCAGATGACCCAGCTGATATGCTTTGTGTGTCGGAGCACCCCAGATGACCCAGCCGATATGCTTTGTATGTGAGCCGTGTGGGGCTGACTTTATGATGACTGGGATATTCCCCAGCTGAATAGGCCTGTTACCCAGGTCATGATAAATGCTGTGAGTAAAGGGGCTCCTTCTACATGGGCACCCTTTGTGATATTACTCCTACAGAATCCAACAACAACTCCAAAAGCCTTAACAAATTTGCTATCTCAGCTTCCCCTGTAATCTCAACGATTTGGGAGGCTGAGACAGGTGGATCACTTGAGGCCAGGAGTTGGAGACCAGCCTGGCCAAGATGGTGACACACTGTCTCTACTGAAAATACAAAAATTAGCCAGGTGTGGTGGTGCATGCCTATAGTCCCAGCTACTCAGGAGGCTGAGGCAGGAAAATCTCTTGAACCCAGGAGACGGAGGCTACAGTGAGCTGAGATCGTGCCATTGCACTCCAGCCTGGGCAACAGAATGAGACTGTCTCAAAAAAAGAAAAAAAATATGCAATTTACTCCTCTACAAAGTCAGTAATAAAGACGGGGAAAATAAGTTCAAAAGTAATCCCTCTGTTACAGCATTAGAGACTCTCCTTCATCCCCAAATGTAATATGCTATTACTTAACCTTACCTTTTGTTTTCTTTTATTTAGTTAGTTGAATCCCTTTCACCATGTTCATGGTAAAAGAAACGTGGCTCAATTTTGTGAGTTGAATTAGACAAGTCCCTGATTTTTCCTGTTTGTTAAATTTAGGATACTTTCTTTTATGAATTAGCATTATCTTAATCAAAAGAGCTTAATGAGATTCACTTGGCATGACTGGTAAGGTAATTATGTTTCAGAATTTACTGAAAAAGAAAAGTTCTTTTATTTGTTATGCTTTCAAGGAGTAGAAAACAGCAGTTGAAAATTGATACTGAAAAGGGTCAAAGTATGTTGGGGCATGGTTGAGCTCCTTTGAAACAGACTGGTGGGAAAGAAGTTTGTGTAAAGTTCAGCCTGTGTCTGCAGCTGAGCCTCTGAATGAGACACACACTACAGAAAGAACACACGGGCTGTGGCCATTCAGCAACTGAGCACCTATCCCAGGCACTGCGACTGCAAGGATGAGTAAGATACACACTCCCTACTCTGCAGACGTGTTATGCTGGGGTCCCAGGCACTGCGACTGCAGATGAGTAAGATACACACAGTCCCTACTCTGCAGATGTGTTATGCTGGGGTCCCAGGCACTGTGACTGCAAATGAGTAAGATACACACAGTCCCTACTCTGCAGATGTGTTATGCTGGGGTCCCAGGCACTGCGACTACAAGGGTGAGTAAGATACACACGGTCTCTACTCTGCAGACGTGGTATGCTGGGGTCCCAGGCACTGCAACTTCAAGGATGAGTAAGATACACACAGTCTCTACTCTGCAGACGTGGTATGCTGGGGTTAGCACAAAGTGGAAATGCAGGATTTTCTCATTTCAATACAGGATGATCAAAGCTCATACGCAGGAGGTTCAGGGTGCTGTAGGAGCACATTGGGGGAGCACCTAAACTCTTTAGAACTAACTGATGATGAATACAGCTTATATTTGGAACTGTTGGTAGGAACGGTATAAAAAAGTTGGGTAAATGAGAATAGTGTACTAGTTTATTTATGTTAGTTAGCACAGAGTAATAATGTAGATGATTTAGTTAGCATAAAAAATAATTTTTAAGGCCAAAGAAGAAAGACACATGAGAAGTTTTTAGTTTCACTGTTGAAAATACACATTGCACACTATATAAGTCTCATAAAAAACATAAGAACATGTGTAAATGCAACGCATATGAAGCTGTAGAAAGAATAATGTTGCATATTATTCACTTATTACTCTTTTTTTTTTTTTAAATGACACAGAGTCTCGCTCTGTCGCCCAGGCTGGGGTGCAATGGCGCAATCTTGGCTCACTGCAACCTCCGCCTCCTGGGTGCAAGTGATTCTCCTGCCTCAGCCTCCCTAACAGCTGGGACTACAGGCACCCTCCACCACGCCCAGCTAATTTTTGTAATTTTAGTAGAGACAGCGTTTCACCATGTTGGCCAGGCTGGTCTCAAACTCCTGACCTCAAGTGATCCACTCGCCTTGGCCTCCCAGAGTGCCAGGATTACAGGCGAGAGCCACCGTGCCTGGCCTCACTTATTACTCTTGACAGCACAATTATAGGTACTTAGTAGACATTTAGTTACTTAGTTGTTAGAATTCAAGGAGATTCTGAGGGGTATAATTAGTTGAAACTGCAATTCAGCAATGACTGTATCAGAAGACCATTTTCAATGAACTTACTTCTAATGACTGAGATGGAGGAGCTGTACCAGGGTTGCATCCCAAGTGAGGTCCACATCAGAGAATCTGGGGCGGGACCATCCAGCCACTTCCCTTACAGGGAAATAGGTTTCTCTTTCTGGTGAACTTCCTGACAGGCCCTTTAGGCTGGTGCTTTTGGTAAATCCAAGGAATGGAGTCTATTTTGGAATCCTGAAATACTCAAAGATGGCTTTGTCTCCCAGGAAGGGCATCACAAGTGGCATTTGAGAAGAAGCAGATGCAGGCAGGTCACTCTCTGACCCCCCAGGAGCAGATCATAAGACCTCATTTGAGAGGAAGAGTCCTTATACCCAGAAGAAAGAAACATCCTTATCTCTGAAGACACAGGGACACAGAGAAGAATTTGAACACACAGGCCTTGCTAAGTTCCCCCAGTTTATCTCCATGAGAGCATACTCACTCTGTCCAATTGTACCAATACCTGAGTCCACTGTTCATCCAACCTAACTAAGCACTATGATACACAAGATTTCCTGTTTCTTTGGGTCATTTTCTTATGAAGACTCCTGTGCCACATAAAGCTTTTTAAATACATGTGTACACTTTTCTCTCAATCTGTACTTTGTTACAGGGGCATCGGCCATAGTCCTAGTGATGGGTGAGGAAAAGAAACCTTTCTTCCCCTACAAAGGAATAAAAAAAGAATTATTGGGTATATATATTCTCAACCCAAAGAGAGAATTCCATTCTATGTGTCTTATTTCCTCCCTATGTTTTATTATTCATGGACAGACCCTCTACTCTTGATCCATTTGATCAAAAAATCTGTGAAGACTGCATCCTGGACTGTGGCCCTAGAATGGAGTGTCTTGCAGCTGTGTGTGAAACTGGATACTTGTGGACTAGAGCTCCTGAGTGAGGAGAAGAATTAATGACCCCCGTGAAGCCATCCAGTGAGCTCTTAGGATGAGCTGATAAAGAATTTGGGAGGACTCTTGCTCTGGACTTTCTGGGACAATTTCCTTCTTCACAGCAGAGTCCAGGTCTTCTTGAGCCCTTTGCCATGGGAAAGCTGTGCCCTCCTATGTCTCCTCTGAGGCTGTCTTCCTCATGGGAAAGCTGTGCCCTCCTACGCCTCCTCTGAGGCTGTCTTCCTTATGAGAGAGCTGTGCCCTCCTATGTCTTCTCTGAGGCTCTCTTCCTCATGGGAGAGCTGTGCCCTCCTATGTCTTCTCTGAGGCTCTCTTCCTCATGGGAGAGCTGTGCCCTCTTATGTCTCCTCTGAGGCTGTCTTCCTCATGGGAGAGCTGTGCCCTCTTATGTCTTCTCTGAGGCTCTCTTCCTCATGGGAGAGCTGTGCCCTCCTATGTCTCCTCTGAGGCTGTCTTCCTCATGGGAGAGCTGTGCCCTCCTATGTCTCCTCGGAGGCTGTCTTCCTCATGAGAGAGCTGTGCCCTCCTATGTCTCCTCTGAGGCTGTCTTCCTCATGGGAGAGCTGTGCCCTCCTATATCTCCTCTGAGGCTGTCTACCTCATGAGAGAGCTGTGCCCTCCTATGTCTTCTCTGAGGCTGTCTTCCTCGTGGGAGAGCTGTGCTCTCCTATGTCTCCTCTGAGGCTGTCTACCTCATGAGAGAGCTGTGCCCTCCTATGTCTTCTCTGAGGCTGTCTTCCTCATGGGAGAGCTGTGCCCTCCTATGTCTCCTCTGAGGCTGTCTTCCTCATGGGAGAGCTGTGCCCTCCTATGTCTTCTCGGAGACTGTCTTCCTCATGGCTCAATTGCAGTTCTGCAGCCAAAAATCGGGGTATTTCCCAGCATTTTATATGTTGTGCCTGAGAATGAATCTGCACAATCTGGCTAAGCAGGAATTAACTGTTAGGCACACAGGGCCTTGTGAATTGCTAAAAGGCTCTCCTCTGGACAACACTCATTATGGGTTGTGATCAAGTTACAGAATGTTCACGTTGCTTTCTTAATCAGCCTTGTTTGTGACTATTGATATCTTTGATCAAGATTGCAAATTGATTTTAATTTTTGTGCTTATATATTAAGGAATTATCTCTTTGTTATTTCAAGTGAGCCGTTCATAACATTAATTTAGTCACCCATTCAGATCTACAGACTACAAAAATGAATATTATATAGATATAGACACTGCATTCATATAAAAAATTTCCCAATAGATATATCTGGGCTACAATTGTCATAAAACGAAGGCTCACTTTTAGTGAGCTCACTTTTAGAACAAGCAAAATCATATATATTATAGGTTAAGAAAGATAAAATAACGAAAGAAAAAGAGAATGGAAATAAACTGCAATTCTTATTTTCTTGTTCTTTATCACTAGGTTTTGCAGGATTCAGCTCCATGAGAAAGTTTTCCCCATTATTAGTCTCCTAGTAGGCTTTGTAATTAGGAAAAAAACTCAAAACTTCCCCTGCCCCTTGCTATGTTTTGGTTGTATAATCTTATTCTTGGATTTGGTCAACATAAATTTAAGGCTTATATTCAAATCAAGCTTGTAAAATAAAATATTTCTTCTTTCAAATTTGCCTCTGTAGTCTCCATCCCTCATCAGATGCCAAGAATAATTCAGATGGTGGATACAGGATTTGTTCTTTAAATAAGAAAGCAAGCCTTGTTTTCTTACCAATGAGTAGAAACTGGTGAAAGATGGGGCCCCTGCCTCACATTCTATCTTATGTTCCTGGGAGAGTCATGGTGCTGAGATATTATCTATCCTTCTCCCTGATTTCTCTAAAGATCCCTAGGCCTCCTATGTGCTGGAGAGTGAGAGAGGATTTAAAGTCTTTCTGAGAGTGACTCCTCACGTTACTGTGGTTTTCTGTTACTAATACAAGTGCTTACTTTCCCAGCATCTGTGACAGTTTTCTTTTTCTGTCTGTCTTTCTCTTCTCTAAGGTAATGAACACAAGGTAACTCCTCTTAAGAAACAGACAGTGAAACATAAGCCAAATATCGGATGGCTTACACTTCACTCCAAGGGTTCCGATTATTCATCCTCTGATTTCCCCTTGGCTTTTCTAAGAAAAGTGCAGCTTTATGTTTACTAAGACTAGAGAAATTCAGCTTTGCAGAAGGAACATAACATCTCAGTTGCTGTAGTCTTTGTTGTTAGTTATCATTTATAACCAGGAGCTTGAATTTTCTTTCCTGGACTTGACCATTGTAGAGTGCAGCAGGGTCTTCTCTGGTGCTGCAGGAGAAGGGATGGAGTCCTTCTCTCTGGGTTCTTTTGGCCCAAGAAGCCTTCCAAAATGGGAAATGTAGGCTCCGAGCAAAGGTGTTTTTGACTCTTTCGTTGGCTATTCTGTCCTGATGTGGGGAATAGTGCTTGGCACACAGTAGAACCTCAGGAAATATTTATAGAATTAATGAATGAATGAATCCTCCATGAAATAGGTTTATTGGATGGGTTTACTGGAGCTTGACCTCCAATGACCTTCACATGGGGAGACAGTGTTGCCAGTGAGTGCCATGGTTGCCTTTCTATTCCAGCTCTTTGTCCTGGGAAGAGTTTGCTGCATCTTCCAGTTTCAGTAATCAAAGAAGCAAAGTTCCCTGCAGTTCTTCAAGGAACCTTGAGAATTCAGAAGGTCTTGGGGTGGCTGCATCCATCCTGCAGACAAATGCCAATCAGCAGAGGGGCCATTCCCAGGGACACATGTCTGGCTGACTTGGGCCTTGGCCAGGTAAGACACACAGCATGCATGCCTGCATTTCTGAATGCCATAGACCTGACAAGTCATAAAATAGCAACCAATAATTTTATGTTAGAGTGCTCCCTTCCTCACAGAAATCTCAGCATATGTGAAGATAGGTTGGAATGTGTAAAGAAAAGCTAAGAAAGCAGATTTCTGATAAGAACAGCGTGTGACTTGTACAGCAGCTCTGAATTACAGCCCGTAGGATGGAATGCTGACAGTTCCTTCTTCCTTACCTGTGATGGCTAGAATTTTATTTAGCACATCGTTTTTGAGCCAATCTCAAAATGAGAAAACTTTTGAGGAATTATGCATAGTGTGAAGTATATTCTTTCCCTTGTTGCCCGTGGAGATTCCACTGTGACAGGGCAGATTTCCCACTGCAGGGTCGATGGAGATGCTGCTGCTGTCTTTGGACATAATAGTTTATGACAAAGAGACCAAAATAATTCCTGTTTAGCCATGCGGTTGTCTGTAAATCTGCTTAGTTGGTCATCCAAAGTGATGACATTTAAGATATAGTTGATACACTGTTTATCTTAAAGAAACATTTTAAAATTAATTCTTCAGACCTATGTAATATTTTATCTTTTCTGTTTAATAATATCCAAATGTGCTTTTGTGAAGCACAAAACACATGTGTATTTCTTCATAAATCAGTCAGATAGCTTTGAAAATATATTTCAAGTATGTAGCAAAGACCCTCAAAACACAATTATTGAAGCATTATAAAAAGGTGAATTTGCTTCAGTTTTGGACTTTTAATAGACTTCACTGTTATGTAGTAAAGATAGAAATATGCCATAAAAGTCTCTGGTTAAGAGCCAAGACTTTTTCTCCTGTATCATTTCAGATCCCGTCATTTCTACCTGATCTTTAGGATAGACTATGCACATTCAGAGTGTTGAGTAAAATTATTAGAAAATATAATACCCATAACATGGTTCTTTATACCCTTTAAGTAAATATGTTGGCACATGAATTCACAATTTAAAACGCTGACTTTGTAAGAAATTTGCATGTGTCTCCAGTGAAGATATTGTTGCCCTTGTGTTCTTTGTGCGTGATTTATGACAAAATTATGAGACCTTTACATTTGTGGAAATAAAACACGTAAAGTTATTTCAAATACACATCAAGTCCATCACTGTGTTCTGTCAATCTTATCTCTAAATATTTCTCAAGTTTCTTCATTGACTTTCATTTCTACTCCCACAACCAGAGTCCCAGATCACCATCATTCCTCACTCTCCGGACTCCTGGAATATAGTCCCATTCTCCATGCCTCCAAATAATTAAAGACACAGAAAAACACATTATGTAAAAAAAGTAGGAGTCCAAATTGAACATTCAAGTTGATTGTAATGAAAACTCACTAAAATGTTAACAGTCATAGAATTAGCCGTGATACCTATTTTGCTCTTTTATACTTTTTAACATTTTCTAAATGTTCTACAATAAGCATGAATTATTTTTTAAAATTTTATTAAGGTGCATTTTCATTTGGGTGCGGTGGCTCACACCTGTAATTCCAGCACTTTGGGAGGCCGAGGCAGGTGGATCACGAGGTCAGGAGATTGAGACCATCCTGGCAAACACGATGAAACCCCATGTCTACTAAATATACAAAAAATTAGCCCGGGGCAGTGGCGTGCACCTGTGGTCCCAGCAGGAGAATTCTCCAGGCAGGAGAATGGCGTGAACCCGGGAGGCGGAGCTTGCAGTGAGCCGAGATGGCACCACTGCACTCCAGCCTGGGCGACACAGCGAGACTCCGGCTCAAAAAAAAAAAACAAAGTGAAAGTGAAAACAGATACCAACTAAAATCTACTACTTAGAAATTCTGATTATTAAATTAGGTGAACGTCATGTCAGACATCTTATTGTTTCTCTCCGTGTATCTACTCACAGACAGGTGCGTGGACACACACATATGGAGAGGGTGAAGAACCGCTAGTCAGCGAGTTAGAGACAGGCAAAAAGTAAAATTTTATATGTACAAGATCAAACTATGCATCATCTTAAAAAGATTAAAATGTATTAGGTTAACAATTTGTACCTAAAAAGTTAAGCCTTATTTAAAATGCAGGGTGTCAGCTATTGAAATAAAAACATCACACGACCTCAACTTTTTACGTTGTGGACTTAGCCACCCTGCGCCCAGCTCTGTTCCAGTTCTTTCCTCTTGCCTTTGGCTTCTACCGCTCCATCGTAGGCCTGACTTCTAGAAGAAACACGGCTAACCTGCTAGGGCTTTAGGCCTGATCTGCCTTTCTTAGGAAGAGAGAGAGATGGAAAGAAAGAGATGGCTTCTTCTTAGCAGAAACATGTCAGCTGCCTTCTTCTCAATTTCCCTGGACAATATTTATGTTCACTCTCCCACCAGTGAGCAGGTAGATGCCTGCATGGGTAGCTCATTCTTACGAAAACGTTGAACTCCTTACGTAAAACATTTTGAATAAAAACAATTGATCAAAAAGAATAAGAAACATTTTGAATAAAAACAATTGATCAAAAAGAATAAAATATGCAGCTTTTCAAATTATACAGACCAGGTGAATTTAGTAGAGAATGAACAAAGTGGTTTACAATATAAAGATTTCTGAATTCAGTGGTCTGGGTGTTCACTGCCCCAAAGAAATGAAAACAGAAAACACTGAGAACCCGTTAATGGGACCATCAGCAGAGATTAGCTCTGTTTCCTTTTCACCTGTGACTTGGGCATCATAAGAATATCTCAGTACCACTGTCCTGGTCTGAAAGCCACTTTGTTTCACATGGCACTGTTGTGATGTCCACAAGAGCCAGTCTTTGCAGATCTTTGCTCTGCAAATTACTACCAAGTGTGACTCTGGGTACAGCCGTTAAGCACTGCACCCCAATCCCCTGTCTGTAATATGGAAATAATAAAATCTAACTCTGAGACATAATTTAAATTACGAGGGGGTACATTACAGTAGGTTATAAGCAAAGGTTCATTCTCTTTCCTGCCTCTTATCATCTAATCTAGTTTGTTTGGAAGAGAGAGGGAGCTTGTGTGTTTCAAATATGTCACTTATATATAATTTACTACTGAATTAAAGACTATGTCTAAAATTTTGTTTTTAAATTGATGATTTTGATCCACATATTTTGTATGATTTCTTTTAGAGTTGGATTTATTGTCATCATCTAGTTTTGTGCTTTACATTTTCCTCCTGTTACTATGTTGTCCTTTTCTTTCCTTTTTTCTTTCTTTTTCCCTTTCTTTCTTTCTCTCCTCCCTCTCTCCCTCCTTCCCTCTTTCTCCCTCTTTCTCTCCCTTCCTGCCTGCCTTCCTTCCTTCTTTCTTTCTCTGTTTCTCTCTTTCTTTCTCTCCTTTTTGACTGAATTTTGATTTTAAAATTATTTTTACCCTCTCTACTGGTTTGGAAGCCATAAACCCTTTTTTAAATCATTCTGTGGCTGCTCTTAATCTTAATAAAATCCAAAATGAATCTGTTCTCCTTCCTAGCAATGCTGTATCTTAATTCTCATCAATTGCCACCTGCTTTACATTGTATTTTTGTGTGTTATTTAGATTCTGCCTCCACATATTTACAGTGTTTTTATTATTTCATTTATACCAGTTTCTTGGTTTATTGTTCCTTTTTTCATCCCAGACCCTTTTTATGGAATCATTTTACTCTATCTGAAGTATTTCCATTAGCAATTCTTTTTTTTTTTTTTTTTTTTTTTTTTTTTTTTTTTTGAGACGGAGTCTCGCTCTGTCGCCCAGGCTGGAGTGCAGGGGCGCGATCTCGGCTCACTGCAAGCTCCGCCTCCCGGGTTCCCGCCATTCTCCTGCCTCAGCCTCCCGAGTAGCTGGGACCACAGGCGCCCGCCACCGCGCCCGGCTAAATTTTTGTATTTTTGGTAGAGACGGGGTTTCACCGTGTTAGCCAAGATGGTCTCGATCTCCTGACCTCGTGATCCACCCACCTCGGCCTCCCAAAGTGCTGGGATTACAGGCGTGAGCCACCGCGCCCGGCCTTCCTTTAGCAATTCTTTTAGCAAGAGTCTGATTATATTAAACATAGATTCTGTTTGCCTAAAATGTGTTTATTTTGTCCTAATTATGACACAATAGTTTGCTGAGCAAACATCTTGAGATGGATGCTATCTTCTGTCAGAATTTTAGGCTAGTGCTTTGTTCTGGATCCACTGATACTGTTGGAAAAAATTGTTTTTCATATAACGGTTATTTCACTGAAGGTAAACTTTTTACTCTGGCTATTTTTAAGGTCTTTTTTTTTTTTAATTTTGGTGGCCCGAAGTTGAAGTTTGTGCCCAGATGTGGGTTTCTTTTCATCTAATCTGCTTAGAAATGTTTGGTTTCTCTTATTTCCCTATCTTCACCTCCTATTTTTTTCATTTTTAATTTTTAATTTTATAGAGATGGGGTTTTGCTATGTTGCCTGGGCTGGTCTTGAACTGCTGGGCTCAAGCAATCCACTTGCCTTGGCCTCCCAAACTGCTGGAATTACAGGTGCGAGCCACCACGCTTGGCCAATCCTCGCCTTCTGGCCACTCTTCAGAACCTGTTGTGTCTTTGAGGGCTGATCTTTTTGTATCTTCACCTTCTTTCATATTTTGCATTTCATTATCTCCATTATGTCTCTGAGCTTCATTCTAGTAGTTTCTGTATAAGTCATTTTCTTAGCTACATTAATCTTTTGTTTATCTTACCTACTGAATTTTTAATTTGAGTGATTACATTTTCTGTTTGAGAGGTTCTTTTTGGTTCTTTTTTCAAATAGCCTGTTTTCTTTGGTATAGCATTTTGTTTCTAGTTCATAATTTCAATTTCTTTTTTGGATAATTTAAAAATACTTATTTTATAATTTGTATCCAATATTTTTATACTTGAAAGTCTTTGGTGGTTTTTTCTGCTGTTGGTTGTTTCCGTTAACTCTTGTATTTTGCTTTTTCAAAAACATATTTTGGATTAAGCTCACATTTAAGTGTTTGGACTTTACGTGCAAGAATCTGTCAAGGTTTATGTTGAGGGTGCACCTTCCGCAGAGAATTTGTGTTTTTGTTTCTTGGGCATTCCTGACTCAAGGTTGTGTAAAATAGTTTCTCGGTTTGAACTTTCCTGGAGTTACTGCGTGGTATGATTTTAAACCCAACTCCAGAGCGTGTCAACTGTACAGATGTTGTCATGAAAAACATCTATTTTTGTCACTTTGAGTCCAAACTAAGGATGACATTTTTTGGTCACCTTTTGTCATCTTTTTAAACCAGTGGATGGATATATATAGAGAGATATATTTTTATGTCTTTCTATATAATCTATAGAAAGTATATAAACATTTACATCAATGTTGTGGGCGCTGGCTTTATTTGGAGACCTTATTTGTAACTTCCTCTTTGGGCTGAGATCATGCCTCTCCTCCTGTCCTGTGTATCATGCAAAATGCAAGCCTTCAGGCCCAGAGGCTGCTGCCTGATCACTCCACAGCCGCAGTGATAGCTCACCGTTCGGGGTTTAAGTCTTCTTTTTATTTTTTGGCCTGTGAATATTTTTATGCCCTTTAAAGTTAATTATATTATTATTATTTCTTGCCTTGCTAAATGTTTTAAATATTTAGAAATATTTATTTATATAATATTTATAAATATGACGAAAATTTTTCAGAACACGTCTACCAAAATGGAATCCAAAATAGCCTCTCAATCCATCTCACCCTTCTTCTTTGACTCTTTCCGATCCGTTTTCTGTCAAGTAGCTAAAGTGATGTTAAGTGAAAATAGGATCATATTGTTACTGGAAGGAGGGCCTTGAGTGTCAGTTGTCCAGGTTCTTTGGTGTTTTGAACAAAGAATTGGACAAAACCCACAAAGCAACAAAGGAACGAGACACAAGAACAAAGCAGCGAAAGCTGAATTCACTGAAGCAAGACAGCCCTCCACAAGGTGTGAAAGCTGGAGTCACTGAAGCAAGACAGCACTCCACAGGGCGGGGGAAGGAGCCAGTTTTCCGGGTTTTAAGTACCCCTTTTGAGGCTCCTATAAGTTACCTCTTGTCTGGATGAAGGATTTGGTTCCTGGCTAATTAAAGGCTGAGGTGAATTGGTGCCCTATGCAGAGGAAGGGGTGGCCCATGCTTGGCCAATCAGGGCACTCTCTCTTTCCATCTGAGATGTGCTGGAAGCGGGAGGGCTGTAGGGAGATTTGATCCTTTGCTGCTCGGCGTGGGGAGATGGGATTTCCCCTTCTGGTTTAGTTTTAGGAAGTTCGTGTTAATTGGCCTTAGGTTCCCTACCCCCAGACCCAGGTGTCCTCCTTTTGATCCAGCTTTGAGAAGTCAGCACCAATTGGCCCCCAGACCCTGGTGTTTTTCCTCGATTCAGCACAAATTGGCCTTAAGTTCCAGACCCTGTTTTCCTGCCTCGATATCACTCCCTTGGTAAAAATCCTTCAATAGCCTTCTGTTATTGGTTAAATTGTATCCCTCAAAAAGACTTGTTTAAATCCTAACCCCTGGTACCTTGACTATGGCGTTGTTTGGAAATAGGATTTTTGCAGATATCATCAAGGTAACATGAGCTCATACTGACTTAGGGTGAGCCCTAGCCCACAGTGGTATTCTATGAGGGAAACGTGTACACAGAGACAGAGGCACTCCAGGAGAAGCCATGCGACCGTGAAGGCAGAGGCTGGATTGACAACGCCACAAGCCAGGGGATGCCAGGGACTGGCGGCAACCACCAGAAGCTGGGAGGAAAGCGTGAGACGGCTCCTCTCTCTGAGTCCCCAAGTAGGAATCGACCATGCTGTCATCTTGCTTCCAGACTTCTGACCTCCAGAACTGAGACAGAATAAATTCCTGTTGTTTAAGTCACCCAGTTTGTGATAGTTTTGCTATGGTTGCCCACTGGTAAATGAATGAGCTAGTGAAGAAAACTGGTACAGCAGACCAGAGGGAACGGAAACGCAAGTGCTCTCACAGGGAGGCCTGGAAGCGAGCTGATTGATGTTGCAGAGCAAATACACTTCCCCTTATAATTAGTATAAAGTAAAAGATCATTAGCGTTGCTGGTGGTGTCTGTTTCATCTTTCCACTCTACTTTCGAGCTTCAGGTTGCTGTCATTGCTTTCACTGGCCTTTTTACAGTTTCTTGAACAAGCTCTTGTCTGACCCAGGAGTATTGTACATGCTGATCCCTCTGCCTAAGAGACTCACCTGAGTTTTGCTTGAATAACTACTGCTTATCAGATCTCACTTCCTCGAAGATCTCTTTCATAACAGTTTCCCCCATCCGTCTCTAAACTACGCCCCTTATTTTTGTTTCTGCACTTTCTTTGCCTTCATAGCATTTATCACAGATTATGACTTGTTTGTAAGATGATTTTGAAATGTCTGTCTTCTCTGCCAGACTATAACCCCATTAGGTAGTGAGGTGCCTGTTTCACTCTTCTCTGTTTCCCAACTACCAGCACAGAGGTGGGTATGCCATAAATATTTTTGAAGAAAGGAAAACACCTTTTTAGGCTTGTAATTAGAAGGATGGATACAAAAAGAGAAATGCCTATTTTCAAGTTGTTTTTATATTAAGGCCAGAGTGTTAGACATGCTGCTCCAATCATTCTTATTTAAGCAGCTTTCTGACAGGTTAGTAATAAATGCCACAGTGTTAAAAGAGCAATCACCCGTCATTCAAGCAGAGCCACACCTTGAAATACACTTGAAATGTCATATGTTAGTACAGTCAGTGTTATTTCACCGGTTACTTATAGCAGGTACTGCTGAAATGCTTAATGACTAGGTTGGTTCAGTGTTCAAACTCAGTACTCTGTTTATACCAAGAGAGCAGAAACATTCACTAAACGTATTCTAAAGCATGTGCTTTCTTTAAAAAATTAGCATAAACTTGTCATTTCGTGCTGAATTACAGGCAATATTTAGGGTCATTTGGGATCTTCGAGGTAACAATGTACAAAATTTCTTCTAGTATGTGGTTCTTCAGGCCTCATCACGGAATTCTCTACCTGCCTTGGTTTGGCAGAGGGCTAGCTTACTGACCCTCAGAGCAGATCACAAATTCATCTTTTAGACTATGTTTATTTCCTGACTGCGTTCTCTGTGCTTGTGCCCTGAGACAGTTAAATTATGAAGAGTACAATTCTATAAATCCAAACATGTCACAAATAATTGTGGCCCCAGGGCCCAAAGAGTTATGAGAGAATATAATGGAAGAAACAGCTACTATGTTTGCCACTCCATTAAAAAAAGAACTCATTCTAGCTAACCTCATTTAGTAGGTAAACTTTGCAACAGTGTTGAAGAAAGTAAGAAAACACATAGGCGACCCCACGTGGAAATGCCACTTTGCTAAAATGACATTTTGATCTATTGCTTATGGAATACTGTGGATGGTCCTTAAATCCGTTAGATGGTCTAATAATGTTATGTGCTCTCAAAATTCTGGAAATGTTTTTACAGTTGTAACTTGCATTCAGCAAAATTGATAATTGTGATTTGGAGTGATGTCAGCAAGATGGCAGAATAAGAGGACCCTGGCTTCACTACCATCTCCTGCCGCCTGCCACACACAGAAAGTTCAGCTAGCAAACACCTGCAGACAAGAATACCTTGGTGAAAACCCTAACATGTGGGAATAAGCCAGAGTCAGCTGTGTGGTCCAGAAAGGAATAAACACTACATTAAAGGGTAAGAAAAACAATCCCATGTTGACCATGTCTCTCCTCCTCCTCCCCTAAGTCAGCACAGCACCTCGCAGATGGAATTCCCCAGAAACTACAGTTCCTACAGAGCAAAAGGAGAATCAGAGGCAGACATGAAGCTTCCCTAGCATTCTGAGATGCTTCCCAGGAAGCCCACTCTGGTCTCACCTCAGGAGGAACAGAGGGGAAATGGCATGGCTAGACCACCTTGGGTGAGATAGAAGCAAAGCGAGGAGGCAGAGTCCACAGTGACAAGCAGACAGATCCTGGCTGTAGCTCTGCACACCTGCCAGCAGTAGCACCCAATCAATAGTACCAGCTAACACCATACCCACCTGCAAATCTGAGCTGGTCACCCTCAGAAGCGGTGGGAAGTTCTACCTGGCTTGAATCCTTAGATGACCAGCCTCAGACCCTACCCTGAGAACATGTCCAGGGAGGGAGATAACCACTACAGCAAATTTTGGCAAAGATCCAGGGCTAGTGTTGTCACACTCAGGAGTTTATTACTATTATCACTTTCATTTGAGATAGGGTCTCACTCTGTCACCTCAGCTGGAGTGCAGTGGCGTGATCACAGCTCACTGTAGCTTCGACTTCCTGGGCTCAAGTGATCCTCCAGCCTCAGCCTCCCAAGCAGCTTGGACTACAGGTGCATGCCACCACACCTAGCTAATTTTTAAACTTTTTGTAAACACGGGGTCCCACTATGTTGCCCAGCCTGGTCTTTAACTCCTGGGCTCAAGCAATCTTGTTGTCCCAGCTTTCCAAAGTACTGGGATTATAGGGGTGAGCCACCATGCCTGGCCACACCGAGGAGTGTTTAAATAGTACTTTGCATGGCCTCAAAGCCCACACACATATCCCACCCAAGGAAGGGGACAACCACCGCAGCAAATTTCAGCAAAGAGCTAGGACTTGACCTAGCACACCCAGGAGTTTAAATAATGCTCAGCCTAGTCTCAAAGCCCACCCCAAGACCTCACTTAAGCAGGTAGGCAAACCTCAACTGTGCATTTTTACCGAGCATAGTAGCTGGTCCCATCCATCCTAGTCAGTGACTCCACCTAACCTCAGAGTGCTTTCTGCAACCCTGTTTAACTGCTGACTTTAAATTGAGGTACCAACTGGCCAGAGAATACTACACTTCATGGCCCAGTCTAATCAGAGGCAAATTGCAGTGCCCATCCAGCAGTCCATCCTCACTGGAGAGTTCAGCTTAGTGGTCTTGCTGAGCTCTTGCTTGGGTAGCAGATCCCAGCCAGCTGCCCCATTCAAACTCACAGAAAAGGCAGCACACCATCAATGAAAGAACCCCCAAATAAGCTCTACATATTCAGGGTTGTTATGAGCTGATGTGTTCAGAACCACAGGCTACACTACACTGTGACAATTATTCCTGCCAAAGAATACCTGCAAAAACTGGAAAAGGTGGCTATCACCTCAAATATGCAGACACTAATGTAAGGATAGAAGGATAACGTCCTTACAAGGGTAACAAAGACTCAGGAAATCATGACACCCCTAAAAAGAAAAATCAACTAAAATAGATTTAACAATGAACCCCAAGGAAAGGACAATTTATAAAATGACAGACAATGAGTTTAGAAAAATCCTCTTAAAGAAGATCATGAACTACAATAATATAGGGATAGAAAATTAAATGAAATTTGGAAAACAATACATGAACAAAATGAGAACTTCGATGAAATAGAAATAATTCTTAAAAACCAACAGAAATTCAAGAGTTGAAGAATACAATGACTGAACTGAAAAGATGCAACTGAAAGCTCCCACAGCAGGTTTGATCAAGCTAAAAGAAGAATCAGTGAACTGGAAGATAGAACATTTGATATTATCCAATCAGAGTAGCAAAAATTAAAAAAAATAAATTTAAGAATGAAGAAAGCCTGCAGAAATATGTGCCACCCTCAAGAGACTGAATATACACATAATATAAATTCCAGAAAGAGAAGAAAGACAAAAAAGGGTAAGAAAGCATATTTAAAAAATAATGGCTGAGAATTTTCCTAATATGAGGATATATACCAATATCAAGGTATAGGAAGCACAGAGGTCTCCAGTCAAATTCAACCCAGAGAGGAGTTTACCAAGACACATAATAAACTATCACAAATAAAAGACAAAGAAAAAATTCTGAGAGTGGCAAGAGATAAAAAGCCACACAGCACCTAGAATAGTCTCAATAGACTCTCACCAGATTTTTCAATGGAAACCCTGAAGGCCAGGAGATAATGGGATGATAGATTCAAAATGTTGAAGGAAAATAAAAATAGCCAACCAAGAATATTTTACTCAGAAAATCCGTCTTTGTGAAATGAGGAAGAAATAAAAATTTTCCCAGACAAACCAAAGCCAAAGGAGGTCATCATCACTGGGCCTGCCTTACAGGAATTGCTAAAGGGAGTTTCTTAAGCTGAAATAAAAGGCCAATAATTATTAACAGAAAATGTACAAATGCACAAAACTCAATGGCATAATAAAGAATCATATGTGGAATGCTCTAGGACTGTAATGATGATGTGTAAGGCAATTTTATTCCTAGTATGGGGGTTAAAAGACAAAATTATTAATAAAACTTAGCTAAATACATTTTCAAGGGATAGATATTATAAAATGTAAATTCGTACATCAAAAACGTAAAATATCAGGGAGATAACAGTGGAGAGTTGTGTGACTTTGACTACCTACAACTGTTATAGCATAACAATTATATGAACTGTCAAAATAGACTGTTACACTTGTAAAATGTTTTATGTAAGCTTCATACTAATCACAAAGCAAAAATCTACAGTAGACACACAAAACAAAAATAGAAAGAATTCAAAGTATACCACTAAAGAAAATCATCAAGCCACAAAAGAAGACAGAAAGAAAGGAAGATGGAAACAAAGTATCTACAAAACAATCAGAAACCAATTCACAAAATGGAGGTAGTAAGTCCTTAACATTCATAATTACCTTGAATGTAAATGCTCCAATAAAAAGACAGAGTGGCTGAATGGATTAAAAACAAGACCCAGTTATATGCTACCTACAAGATACTCATCTTACTTTTAAAAACACATATAGGCATGCGTAACAAACCTGCACGTTGTGCGCATGTGCTCTAGAACTTAAAGTATAATAAATATATATATATATCACATATAGACTAAAAGTGAAGAGATGGAAAAAGATATCCCATGCTTGTGAATTGGAAGAATTAATATTGCTAAAATGTACATACTACCAAAAGCAATATGCAAATTCAATATAATCTCTTTCAAAACTTCAATGCCATTTTCACAGAAATAAAAAGACAACTAAAATTCACATGGAATTGCAAAAAACCTTGAATAGCCAAGGCAATCGTGGGCAAAAAGAACAAAGCTGTAAGCATCACACTACTCATTTCAAACTATACTACTACATCAGCTTAGTGCTGCCATAAAAATAAACACATCAAAAAACAAACAAAAAAAGAAAAACAGACACATCAATGAATGGATTAGGATAGAGAGCCAAGAAAGGAACCAACACATGTATGAACAATTGATTTTCAATAAGGCATCCATAGATAATTATTAAATAAATGAGTCTGGCTGCATTCATAGGACAAATAAAACAGTTGATTGTCAGAATTTGGCCAGTGGCTGGAGTTTACTGACCCCTGATCTAGGCATTGAGCATTAAAGACTGCCAACATAAAAGAGATAGAGTCAACTAGATAGTATGTGATTCCTGATGGGAGAACATGCTAGCAGGTATAGTCTTGTCAAATAAACCTCTGGATTCAGTTAACAATTTGCAGCAGAAGCAGAGTTTGGAAGAACATACTGAATTGTACTCTAAATAGGCAATCAGCCAAGTCAAAACCACAAGCACCTCTCCAGGTTCTGCAAAGGATCAATTATAAAACTAAATTACAAAAGATCGTAAGTGTGCCAAGAATACACAATATAAAATGGATATCTTTAATAAATGTTTTTGAGAAAATTGGATATCTATATATAGAAGAATTAAATTGAAACCTTTTCTCATATCATGTGAAAAAATTAACTCAAAATGGGTCGAAGACTTAAGCATAAAATCTGAAACTGTAAAACTACTAGAAAAAAACATAGGGAGAAAACTACATGAAATTGGTTTGGGCAATTACATTTTCAATTTTACTCTACAACCACAGGCAACAAAAGCAAAAAGAGATGAATGGGATTTCATGAAATATGAAAGCTTCTGTATAACAAAGGAAACAACAGAAACAACCTACAAATTAGGAGAAAATATTTGCAAGCCACATATCTGATAAGAAGCTAATATCCAAAATGCATGCGGAACTCAAACAACTCTAGAAAACAAATAAGACTAATTTAAAAAATGGGCATAGGACCTGAATAAACATTTTTCAGGAGAAGATATACAAATTACCTACAAATATATGTAAAAAGAAAAAACTCAATATCACTAATCATTAGGGAAATGCAAGTTAAAACCACAATGAGACAGCACCTCACACCTCTCAACATGGCTATTTAAAAAAAAAGAGAGAAGGGATTAAAAAGTTTTGGTGAGAATGTGGAGAAAAGAGAACTTTTGTACTCTGTTCTTGGGAATGTAAATTAGTACAACTTTTATGGAAAACTGTATGGAGGTTCCTCAAAAAACTAAAAATAGAATTACCATATGACCTGGCAATCCCGCTTGTGTGTATTGACACAAAACCCATATCTATGCCAGAGAGATGTCTGCACTCCCGTGTTCATTGCAGCTCTGTTCACAATAGCCAAGTTACGGTATCAACTTAAGTGACCATCAGATGATTGGATAAATAAAACATGGTCTATACACATACAATGAAATTCTATTCAGCCTTATAAGAGAAAGAAGCTTGGTCGTTTGCAACAACCTAGGTCAATTAAGCCTCCAGGCATATGAGGTCCATTGTTGTGAGTTTATATGTGTCCTGAAGGGTCCTGAATCCCTTCGTAGGGAACTCTGGTCTTTAAAGTTCCAGGTGAGGTCTAAGATTTTCTGGTGGTTTTGACATATAGAATCATAAACTTTTATAGCTAAAGGAATCTTTTCTTATATTTCATTTATTCTTTTTCCCCTAGTTTATAGATTAGATCTAAAGAGGTCCCTTGACTTGCCTGAAGCAATGCCTCTGGTTAATGATGAACCAGTATTGGAACCCAAGTCTCCAAATTATTAGTCAGCTCAGTGCTTTTGCACTGAACTCTGCTACATCTGAAAGATGCCTTGTTCCTCATGTTCAGTAAAGAATGGTCTACAGATTAGACAAAATCGACACATTTATAAACAAAAATAGCAACACCAACAAACAAAAATATTTTGCTGCCCAGAGACGGGTGGGCCCTGTTAGTGCTGTTTGGTTTAGGATACCTTGGGCTTGTACTAGAGGTGAAGTAACTCACCCCTCGACAGGAGCAAGACCTTTTGAAACACCAGTCTGTAAAGAGTAAGATCTACCCAGCTTAGCTGCCAGAATCATCACTTCCATTGTCAGTTGAGTTCCTCTGGTCTAGACAGTCATCTTATAAATTCCTTAACCAGCTTTTAAAAGGCCATAAAAGGATTAGTAGATAGAATGAATGAACCTAGATGTAGAACGAGAATTATATATGCATACATTTTTTTCATACAGGAAACAAACATTAATGATCAACAAACTAAATGTACATTATAGTTATGGTAAAATGTTAATATTCAACAAACTAAATATATTTTACATTGTGGCTATGCTATTAACTCTGAATCTTCCTTACTTTGTAATTCATGAAAATCAGAGCCAGAACTGGAGAACAGAGGTCTCTGAGGTGTCTCATTTGAGTTATCTTTCTTCGTCATCTAGATTGCATGTTGCAGGATGACCTTTCTGTTTGTCCTGTGCTGAGCTGTCTAGGATTGGTTGCCCATGTGTATCCTAGTGTTCAATACTAATTGTACAGAATTTTTAGGACTTTCTGAAGGGTTTCAAAGTCTAAATTTAAGTAAAGACAGTTTTTTTTAAAATCAACTTAAGAGGTATATAATTTATATACAACAAAAGGCCTACATTTTAAAGATCAAGTACAGTGTGTTTTGACAAATGTATGTGTTGGTGTACCCAAGGTGTAGAACATTTCTGTAACTCTAGAAGTTCCCTCTTGCCCCTTGTCAGTCAGTCTTCACCAGTAATTTTTCAGCCCCAGAAAACCACCAATTGCTCTGTGTCCCTATAGATTGGTTTTGCTGGTTTTCAAACTTCATATAAGTGGAATCACACAATATGTATTCATTTGTGTCTGATATCTTTTGCTCAGCATAAAAGATGGCATATTTTATCAAATATTTCTAAGGAAGGTGATTTCATACAATGCATCCTAAAAACACAGGTTGGTCATTTTATCTTGTCAATAACCAAACCCTTCTGGCTGCGTGTCTTCCCTACACATCCTCTGAAATAGTGTCTGCTGGGTCTCTTGCCTAAGCAGCCTCTGACATAGTGTCTGCTGGGTGTCTTCTCTAAACAGCCTCTGACATGGTGTCTGCTGGGTGTCTCCTCTGAACAGCCTCTGACATAGTGTCTGCTGGGTGTCTTCTCTAAACAGCCTCTGACATGGTGTCTGCTGGGTGTCTCCTCTGAACAGCCTCTGACATAGCGTCTGCTGGGTCCCTTCTCTAAGCAACCTCTGACATAGTGTCTTCTGGGTCTCTTCTCTGAGCAGCTTCTGACATAGCGTCTGCTGGGTCCCTTCTCTGAGCAGCCTCTGACATAGTGTCTTCTGGGTCTCTTCTCTGAGCAGCCTCTGACATAGTGTCTGCTAGGTCTCTTCTCTGAGCAGCCTCTGACATAGGGTCTGCTGGGTGTCTCCTCTGAACAGCCTCTGACGTAGTGTCTGCTGGGTGTCTTCTCTGAGCAGCCTCTGACATAGTGTCTGCTGGGTCCCTTCTCTGAGCAGCCTCTGACATAGTGTCTGCTGGGTCCCTTCTCTGAGCAGCCTCTGACATAGTGTCTGCTGGGTGTCTCCTCTGAGCAGCCTCTGACATAGTGTCTGCTGGGTGTCTTCTCTGAGCAGCCTCTGACATAGTGTCTGCTGGGTGTCTCCTCTGAACAGGCTCTGACGTAGTGTCTGCTGGGTGTCTCCTCTGAGCAGCCTCTGACGTAGTGTCTGCTGGGTGTCTTCTCTGAGCAGCCTCTGACATAGTGTCTGCTGGGTGTCTCCTCTGAACAGCCTCTGACATAGTGTCTGCTGGGTGTCTCCTCTGAACAGCCTCTGACATAGTGTCTCCTGGATGTCTTCTCTAAGCAGCCTTTGACATAGTGTCTGCTGAAGCTTCAAGGGTTGTTGATTGGGACTAGATGTTCAGAGGTCAACATCAATTTTGAACTAAAAAATGGATTCCCCACCAGAAACTATTCTAGCACTTCCCATATATGATGATTAAACACCCCCTTGGTTGAAACTGTCTCAGCTTTTAATATGCCACCATTTTGTTGCTACTGGTGAGCTTCAGAGCTCTTTTTAAGAAACCTGTCCTTGGTGCCTTTCCCATGACTCCGCTTGTTTACTTCTTTTTTCTTGTCACTCCCATCAATCCCTCAGATATCAGCAATCTCCTGTTGTTATTCCCATTAAGGCCTGTCTTCCATACCTTTCTCTGCTAACAAAACCTTCGTTTTCATGTTCTTATTTCACCACTGCTCCCAGCTATCTCCCACTCTAGACAAGATCGTTGATCGAATCACCCTAAGTTATAGGCTGCAGCTGTGTCCAGCACCGTGTCAGCCACAAAGGGCGAGGAAAACAAGGCCCTTGTTCTCAGCAAGTCCACAGGGTGCTGGGGGATAGGCATACAACTCTCATTGACAATTGTCTTTTCTATTCCCCTTAAGGGTCCCTGTCATGGATTTGAAGACAGATTTGTGGGCCACCAGCCTTGAGTTAGTCATTTGGCCACCACTTCTCCAAGTCCTGTGCTTTCCCCTGCATGACTGTGGACCCCCAGTCGCTTTGCTAGTAGTTGTGGTCTGGAATTAAGGATATACACCCCCTCACAGCCATTGTGATAGCACTGCATGAAACTGGGGTAGGGCGGGCATGTGTGACTATACGGCAGGTGTCACTTCTCCTAGTGAACCCCAGCGTCCTGTCTCAGGGTCACCATCATTCACAGTTATGTAAAGAAGCCAGAGGAATTGCAGTGCACTTAAGTAAACTTAAAAATCATCTCCTAATTATTATTGATCTTCTCATCAGAGACAAGGTGCCCAAGAACTGAATGGGAGGGAGGTGGGCACGCCACCTTATAGCCCAAGAATCATTAGTCAGGACAGCCTATTTATAAAAATAGCTTGCTAAGAGGAGTTTTAAAGACCACAGAAGAGTACATTTCTTTACTAGTTTTATTTACTAAAAGTGTAAAAATTAGACTTTTAAATCATTTGATTCCAGAGGCACATTTTTTAAAAAATGTAGTTTTTGAGAATTATAAGAGGTATATTAAAAAATTTTAAGTTTGTCTCTTTTTTTTGAAAGCTGAAAATTAATCTAATGCTATTCTTGTCAACCAAAATAGGAGAGAGCTGAGGGACACAGCATGGAAAACATGAAAGAGCTGAGGGACACAGGATGGAGAATATGAAAATAGGAGAGAACCGAGGGACATGCAAGGAGAATAGGAGAGAGCCGAGGGACACGGCACAGAGAATGGGAGAGAGCCGAGGGACACGGCACGGAGAATGGGAGAGAGCCGAGGGACACGGCACGGAGAATGGGAGAGAGCCGAGGGACACGGCACAGAGAATGGGAGAGAGCCGAGGGACACGGCACGGAGAATGGGAGAGAGCCGAGGGACACGGCACGGAGAATGGGAGAGAGCCGAGGGACACGGCACGGAGAATGGGAGAGAGCCGAGGGACAGGGCACGGAGAATGGGAGAGAGCCGAGGGACACGGCACAGAGAATAGGAGAGAGCCGAGGGACACGGCACAGAGAATGGGAGAGAGCCGAGGGACAGGGCACGGAGAATGGGAGAGAGCCGAGGGACAGGGCACGGAGAATGGGAGAGAGCCGAGGGACACGGCACGGAGAATGGGAGAGAGCCGAGGGACAGGGCACAGAGAATAGGAGAGAGCCGAGGGACAGGGCACGGAGAATGGGAGAGAGCCGAGGGACACGGCACAGAGAATAGGAGAGAGCCGAGGGACACGGCACGGAGAATGGGAGAGAGCCGAGGGACACGCAAGGAGAATAGGAGAGAGCCGAGGGACACGGCACGGAGAATGGGAGAGAGCCGAGGGACACGGCACGGAGAATGGGAGAGAGCCGAGGGACAGGGCACGGAGAATAGGAGAGAGCCGAGGGACAGGGCACAGAGAATGGGAGAGAGCCGAGGGACAGGGCACGGAGAATAGGAGAGAGCCGAGGGACACGGCACGGAGAATGGGAGAGAGCCGAGGGACACGGCACGGAGAATAGGAGAGAGCCGAGGGACACGGCACAGAGAATAGGAGAGAGCCGAGGGACACGGCACGGAGAATGGGAGAGAGCCGAGGGACAGGGCACGGAGAATGGGAGAGAGCCGAGGGACACGCAAGGAGAATGGGAGAGAGCCGAGGGACACGGCACGGAGAATGGGCGAGAGCCGAGGGACACGGCACGGAGAATGGGAGAGAGCCGAGGGACAGGGCACGGAGAATGGGAGAGAGCCGAGAGACACGCAAGGAGAATGGGAGAGAGCCGAGGGACACGGCACGGAGAATGGGAGAGAGCCGAGGGACACGGCACGGAGAATAGGAGAGAGCCGAGAGACACGGCAAGGAGAATGGGAGAGAGCCGAGGGACACAGCACGGAACCATAGTTCAAGTGATCTGAAATTACCTGATATGGTTTTAAGCTCATGGAATAGGAGAGATTTGGCACTTAAGAATGTTTAAGGGGATATATTAACCTTTTCTCAGGGGTTATGTAGCCGATGAGCACAGTTCTAAAAAAAGGCAGGCTTTAGTGCAGCGTAGTCAAATACAAACTCCAAAAAAGGGACCTGAATGAATAGATTGTCCAGGAAATTATGGTTGAAATGAATGCTGCTGGAAATGATGAGTTTGGAAAATGAATGTGTTTTTACTAAGATGTGAAGTGAAGAAAAAAGGAAAAAGTAATATGACTCATGAAGATTTTGTGATCTGGTACTAAGCAATGTGAACTGGTTCCGGTGATTCAGCCTCTGGGAAGACACTGTCCTATCATGATTTACAACCAAGGGTCTGGGACTGGATACAGGATGCTATTCGTATTGATCACATAGTCTTATTTCATCAGAATTTAGATCTTTAAGATAAATGGAAGGCATTTGATCACATTTGTATTAGTAAATTGCTGAGATTTGACTGCAAGTGATAAAATAAAAAGAGGTTGAAAATGAACTGGTAAAAAAGATTAAAAAACTGTAATTGCTGGTGAAAGTAAAACTGGTTTATGTAGCTGTGGACTCAGGCTCTATTTTCTGACAGTTTGACAGGCAATTGAAACACAACATTAAACAGTAAAGGTTATGCCTTTAGCAATAAATTAATCTAAAGAGCCATCTTTTCTTTTAATCTCACATGCAATGCAAACTTATTACAAATCTACTTTCTTGTCCCAACATTCCTTTTATGTAGTAAAAGCTTTTGTTTGCAGGAGGTTATGGTGAATGACCAACATGGATTTCTTGTAAGATTTCATCACTGAAGGAGCAGTTTTAGTGAAATATGCGAAGTGATTTTTGTTCCTGATCTTCCATCAAAAAGCTGTGCAAGAGATAGCCACTTGCAGAACCTACTGTGGGATGTTTTGGGGGTTGGGGGGTTTTACATTTAATTAAATTAATTAATTTATTTATTTTGAGACGGAGTCTCGCTCTGTCGCCCAGGCTGGAGTGCAGTGGCGCCATCTCAGCTCACTGCAAGCTCCGCCTCCCGGGTTCACGCCATTCTCCTGCCTCAGCCTCCCAAGTAGCTGGGATTACAGATGCCCGCCACCACGCCCGGCTAATTTTTGTATTTTTAGTAGAGACGGGGTTTCGCCATGTTGGCCAGGCTGGTCTTGAACTCCTGACCTCAGGTGATCCACCCACCTTGGCCTCCCAAAGTGATGGGATTACAGACCTAAGCCACTGCACTGGGCCAATTTTATTTGTATTTTTGGAAAGTGCTACCTATGTTTTCCTGCCAGTCCCCACTCTCCCAGAGGCAAACAAAAGATGCGTTTCCAGGATTTTTTTCTCAATGATCACCCAGAAGACTCCCTGGATCTTAGGGCAATAAGGTGCTTTTGTTCTAAAGCTGGGAGGCAGGATTGGTGCTGTGAATGTGTGGCCGTGCGCTCAAAAGTGCTCTATGCTTAGCAGGACCCTGCACCTGATTTAATGGTTTGTGGCTTTGGTCTTGAAATTCTTAACGAAGTTTGAACAAGGGGCCTTGCATTTTCATTTTGTACTGGGCCTCGCAAATTATGTCGTCCGTCTTACTGATAGTAACATAATAAGTGACATTGATTGTGTTCTTAGCAGGAACTGTTTTAAGCTTCTTACCTGTATCAGTTCATCTAATATTTGTAACAATCCTCTGAGTTAGGTGTTATGGCTCTCAATTGCAGATGAGAGACTGAGCACAGAGAGGGGAAATTGCTAAACTAGTAAGCTGTGGGGCAGATTCTAACCCAAATCACCTGCTTCTGGAGCTGGTGCTCCTAACTGCTGACCATGCCGCCTCCACCCCACTTGCTTTCTGAACTTCTCATGGCTTGTGTGTGCTGGAACAGGCACCACCTAAAGCAAACTGCATAAGGCTTGTTTGCTGAGAATGCATTCAGCAAATGCAAATATACGACCTGAAGAAGTCAAGCAGAATTCCTCAATCTCATCTGAAATTAACTAGCTGTTACCTTGGGCAGGTTTCAGATGCAGTGGAGGGAAGAAGGGAAATGAGCAAGGGAAAGAGTTTTAAAAAATGTAAAGTCAGCACGAGCGACAGAGTGAGATCCTGTCTCAAAAAACAATATTAAAAGGTGGGGGCATAGTTGCACCTGGCAGGGCCCCTGGTGGTCAGCTTGGGAGGAGTGATGTGGGGTAGGAGGGGGTCAGGCTGGAGGACAAGGGAAAACATGACAAAGTACAACCACGCTGCCAACTTAGCCGTTTGATTATGGCCGACGCTGGAGACAAGTCACGCAGTTTTAAATTGTTTCAGGGACTGAGTGAGAATACTTTTCTGATTTCCAGGTGACTGCACATGTGAGTGCTGGTGGGTGTGTGGCTGGAGGTGGCTGACGCAGCCCAAATGTTGAAAAATGCAGTGAGACACCTTCCAGCAGCTGCGGCTGGGCCTAGGATTTAACAGCTTCCTGCAGCTGGGGCTGGGTATAGGATCTACAAGCTATTGCCAGGCTGCAGGGGAGACTTTGTTGCCACCCTTCAGAACGCACCACCTAGTAGGCGACACAGCGTAGGCACTTCAGAGTATGTGAGCAATGAACACATGAATCTCACAGTTGTCCACCCTGCTAGTGTTTAAGGTGGGTTCAGTATTCAACAACTCTCTTTCTGACTGACAGATTAGATCTATCAAGAAAATTTGGGCTGGGTGCGGTGGCTGATGCTTGTAATCTCAGCACTTTGGGAGGCTGAGGTGGGCGGATCACTTGAGGCCAGGAGTTTGAGACCAGCCTGGCCAACATGGTGAAACCCTGTCTCTACTAAAAATACAAAAATTAGCCAGGTGTGGTGACGTGTACGCTACTCGGGAGGCTGAGGTGGGAGCACTATTGAAATGGGGAGGCAGAGGTTGCAGTGAGCCGAGATTGCACCGCTGCACTCCAGCCTGGGCAACAAGAACGAGACTCCATCTAAAAAAAAAAAAGTTACAATTTGTTGTACTTCTGCTTACCACAACTGTTGATCCACAGAGTAGAACAGGGTCCTTGAGTACGCGAGTTTTGTTTGATGTTATGCCATTGCAGTGCCCAGCATACTGACTCTGTGATTGCCTGTTGTTAGGATAGGATAAAAAGAAACCCAATCTTTTAGGTCCCAAGTTTCTCGTTTCCCACCGTAGGCTAAACATGGTGCCTGAATCTCAATGTCGTGACAAGGTGTGTTCATTCCTAGTAGGCTCAGACGAAAGCTTCTTGCTTCGAGTCGCCGTAGTGCTCAACGGTGGTGTGATCTGCGGCATCCTAAGAAATATGTGTTTGACCTTTGTCCCAGGTTCTTTGCACAGAGTTCCCACAGCCCTTGTAATTTTCTGGGAGACGGGGTGGGAGGACCATCTTTTGCTGTTCATAATAAACCACTGACAACCGTGCCTGAGTTTACAGTAAGGACCCTTGATGGGTCCCTAGATAGCTTCAGAATGGGGCTGGTTGCCAGGAGAGCCAACTACGTGATCAGAGGGTTGGGTGGACAAATTTGCTTTGAAGGAGAATTGATTTTTGAGGAGGATATAAAATATCTACTTTGTAGCCAATGACCTCCTTGGAAGAGTGTTTTTTCTTTTTAATATTACCCACTATGAACTTAAAGAGCCAGTAGCTATGTGATTATAGTTAGATGTATTCGATGTCTGTGCCATCCCTGCAATAAAGTACATCACAGCGTTCCCAAGGCTGTGTTAACAAGGCAGTCCCAGATGCTCTCGGCGTCTTCCTTCTTTCTGGAGATTTTACCTTTTGTTTTCCTTTTTTCTTTTCACATAAGACCTGTATTTCTGATCAGAGAGGTTAAGGACTGTTGCTCCTCACTGTTTTTAAAACATGACCTTGCTACAAGCCACCTCTACTTGTTTCTAAATTCAGGGATATTCTATGCTACTTAAGATGCGTCACTGCCCATCTCTGGTCAAAAGTATTCTTTTAAATTTCAGCATTCATCTAAAAGGCATGATACACTAAATATAAAGAAGTAATCAGCAAATATTAGGCATTTTACAATCTCAATTGCACCATACCAAAAAATACCTGTATGTGGTTTAACATGTTTACACACCTTGAAAATCTAAAATTCAGACATTTTATACATGGAGTGCCTGTGCCTCATGAGCAAGGATCTTGATCATGTTATTTAAAGCCCTGCACCACTGCCTAGTGGTGGGCCTGGGAGATCCTTCTGATCTTAGCATTCTTGACCTTAAATTTTGAAGATAATCAAAATTATTGATAATTTTTAAGGGATACAAGTATTATTATCCAACTCCTAACCTGTGCACTTGAAGGGGTGATAGATTAGTCCCCTAGACATTCTGAGCATTGCTGCTGGATACATTGACAGAGGGCTAGAGGGCAGAATTCACAGGACAAGAATTGCCATCACCCTTAGTTCTCCCTGTTTCTGTATTGAATATAGGACTAGTGAGAGGACCAGGAAGGGAGCACTCTGGAGGGGAATGTGGAGGATGGAAGGATGGGTACCACTAAGGTGCAGGTGTAATATGTCTACCATCTAGTCATCTCCTTCTCTGCATAAACACCAGGGGAAAGGATGGTTTCTGAAAGAGCATCTTAGGAATGCCATGAAAACAAAGGGTGTGCATCTGTCCATGTGTGGGTGTTCTCTACTAGTGAGTTTGGAAATGAGAGTGCCTTTGAAACAAACAGACCACTGTAACCACCCAAGGGGTTCTTTTTGCCCACTGCCAAGATAGAGCCCATTTGTCAAGACTGGGGGATTGCAACTGGGAAAGAGTCTAATACACGTAGAGCCAGCTAAAAGGGAGACTGGAGCTTTCTTATGACTCAGATCAACTTCCCTGAAAATTCAGAGGCTAGGATTTTTGAAAGCTGGTTTGGTGGGGTGGGAGCTAGGGAATGGGGAGTGCTGATTGGCTGGGTTGGAGAAGAAATGACAGGGAGTTGAAGCTGCCCTCTTGTGCTGAGTTGGTTCCTGGGTGGGGGCCACAATACCAGATGAGCCAGTTTACCCTTCTACGTGGTGCCAGCTGGTCCATCAAAATTCAGCGTCTGAAAACACCTTGAACACCAATCTTAGGGTTACAATAGTAATGTTATCCACAGGAACAACTGGAGAGGTCCGTGATTTTGTGGCCTCCGGTTGCATGATTCCTGAGCCATAATTTCTAATCTTGTGGCTAATTTGTTAATTTTCCAAAGGTCATCTGGTCCCCAGGCAAGGAGGGGGTTGTTTCAGGGAAGGCTGTTATCATCTTTGTTTCAAAGTTAAACTATTACCTAAATTCCTCCCAAAGTTAGCATGGCTTACACTCAAGGATGAGCAAGGGCAGCTTGGAGGCTAGAGGCAAGATGGACTCGATCCCATAGTTAGTGTGGCTTACACTCGAGGATGAGCAAGGGCAGCTTGGAGGCTAGAGGCAAGATGGACCCGATTAGGTCAGATTTGTTTTGCGTCGTAATGTTTCTGTGTCAGAGTCCTCTCATTGTCAAAATTTTTGCAAAAGTGTTTTCACTACTAAGTCCTAGGAAAACATTTTTTCTTTCTGTAAGAAACCTCAAGAGGTTGTGTACTTATCTATTTGCTCTTCAGCGGCATAATTCTAGGTGTCTGTTAAAAGTTTAAAAGTGATCAGCTGGAAAATATTCATGTGGTGTTGGGGCACAGGGGGCAAAGCACCCGCCACCTACAGCAGTTTTAACAGTGCTGGCACCTGCCGGCACTGTAGGTAGCAAAGAATATTATGAGTAATTCTTCACTTCCTTAAGTATGTTAGAAAGGTAAAAATCTTCAAGAGAAACTCCAGATTTTGGGTGGGTTTGAAACTGCATTACAAGTTGGTCCTGCAAAATCCATGTTGCCTGTAAGCTACAGCCTTTGAAATGAAACACACTTCACAAATTGAGCTTTGCCCGTATTTCTTTCAGGGAAGCAGCTGTCCTGTTTCCTCTAATAAGGTAATATGCCTGAAAATGCAATATAAGCCTCCAGGGTCAATGATTAGAGAGGTTTGGCCCACACAGGCTGAACGGACCCTCCAAGCAATTGGACGGTCCCTCCGTCAGTTGCAGCAGCTCCTTCGCCTCCACGGAGAGGGAGTTTGGCTGATTCTGTGTCCTTCGCCTCCACGGAGAGGGGATGTGGCTGATTCTGTGTCCTTTGTCTCTGTGGAGAGGGAGTTTGGCTGATTCTGTGTCCTTCGCCTCCGTGGAGAGGGAGTTTGGCTGATTCTGTGTCCTTCGCCTCCGTGGAGAGAGAGTTTGGCTGATTCTGTGTCCTTTGTCTCTGTGGAGAGGGGGTTTGGCTGATCCTGTGTCCTTCTCCTCGCTGGAGAGGGGGTTTGGCTGATCCTGTGTCCTTCTCCTCGCTGGAGAGGGGGTTTGGCTGATCCTGTGTCCTTCTCCTCGGTGGAGAGGGGGTTTGGCTGATCCTGTGTCCTTCTCCTCGGTGGAGAGGGGGTTTGGCTGACCCTGTGTCCTTCGCCTCCGTGGAGAGGGCGTTTGGCTGATTCTGTTGTTCTATTTTGTGGTAGATTGGGTGTGGGGAGTGTTGGCGTCTAAGAGCAGAACGAGGCTGTGTGAAACCTTTTCGAATGTGTAGGTGTGTTAGGCTGAAGCACTTGTTCTGATCACACAGAGCACACCCTGGAGTGGAGTCATCGAAGGACTGTTTGACTTACCGACTGGACGGACTCACTGCTTCTGTCCATTGGAGTTGGGAAGGAATTCCATCCAGAGAGATTCTAAAGAGAGTCAGCACGAGGACAGATGAGGAGAGAAACGGCTGTGAATGGAGCTTGACTTTCCCTGGAGTCCTGACTTTTTTCAGAATAAATGCTCCTGTAGAGCCTGATATTCTGCAAGTTACAAGTGGCTGCTTGCCCTTCTCATTTGCACCCCAGCTGACTCCTAGATAAAGTAGGTGGAACATTTTATGTGACGATTATTGCCAGGGAACTTTATCTGTTGCTAACAGGCATGGTGAAAACATTTGCACAATATGACAAGAATGACAGCATTCGATTAGAGAGGGCTCACCTTAAGCCGGGTCATGTTCCAGTGCTTTAGAAAGAGGACTACCGCTATCAGTGCTTTCTCTTACCACATGAGATGGGTATCACCGCTTTCATTTTAAATATGAAAAAGTAGAGGCTTAGGGAGGTTAAATGCCTGGTCTAGGATCGAACAGCTAGGAAGAGGCAGAGCCATGGTTCAACAGGTCAGTCTCACTCCAAAGCTGGTGCCTATAACCACCGCCCTCCAAGATGAAAATAAAAATGGGAAAGACCTGCATAATATTTGTACAATGCAGTGGTTTTAGTCTCAGGTAAACGTTCCTCAATGATTCTAATTCTCCCCTCCCTCTTTTTTGCCATGACCCATTGGGAATTACTGGTATTACACATATAAGGCTGTAAAGGGCCTTCATGTACTTTTTCTCATTCACAAATTGTGATTTCTCCAGCTGTTCTATCCCTGACAGCTGTTTTATTTTCTTTAATGATGGAGCAAGTTCTAAAATACAATGTAAATCATCAGAGAGTAAAATTAAAGTTACCAGGTAAAACCCAAAACATCAGATAAATTGATTTTCAGGTAAACAACACATAATTTTAAAAGTTGTAAGTATTTACTAAATACTGCATGGGACATACTTACACTAAAGTATTTTTCATTGTTTTTTGAAATTAGAATTTAATGAGGTGTCTATGATTTTATTTGCTGTGTCGGGCAGCCCTGCATTAAATTAGAGAGGTGTATGTCCAAAGAACGAAACTTGGATTTGGCGTTTCATGATATTCCACAGAGGTCAAGGGAAAACTCCCGTGAAATGGGTAGAAGAGAAACATTGGGAAAGTAAATAGTTGAATCGACTTGCTTTGTATAATTAGTCTTTTCATACAATCTTGCCCATGTCAAACGGTGTTTTCGGTCATTGATATTTTGTGTAGAATGGTAACGATTAGAGTCATTGCAAGAATTATTTTGTCTTTATCAATAGTTCCGCTGAAGCTCCCCCAAGGTAAGACTCAATGCAAACCTAGTTTTAATATTTCCAAATGTTTAATTTTTATCTGAGGGTACTGCAGGGCCTTTGAGGTCTTATGGAAAAAAGTCCTTCCATCAGTAGGAACTTGCAATTTTCAGTTGTGATGAGCGTTTCTGCTCTGGAACGCAGGCACATGGACTCGTAATGCTGTCCCTTTAACTCTCAGTTCTGCATGGCTGACTGGACACAGTAAGCTCTGTAGTTACTTCCCTAATAGTTCTGACTCTGTTTCACAAAAGCTGCCTCTTTCCTTGTGTAATGAAACCATGAAGTCTTGAAGAATGCCTGATTTCCTGGGTAAAGGAGCTTCCGGAGTAATAATATTTAGTGGGATTGAGGTAGTGGCAGTGCTAGCGGCAGTGGTGATGTGGTGGTGGTGGTGTGTGTACTAGTGCAGTGGTGATGTGGTGATGGTGTGTGTACTAGTGCAGTGGTGATGTGATGGTGTGTGTACTAGTGCAGTGGTGATGTGGTGATGGTGTGTGTGTGCTAGTGCAGTGGTGATGTGGTGGTGATGGTGTGTGTACTAGTGCAGTGGTGATGTGATGGTGTGTGTACTAGTGCAGTGGTGATGTGGTGATGGTGTGTGTGTGCTAGTGCAGTGGTGATGTGGTGGTGATGGTGTGTGTGCTAGTGCAGTGGTGATGTGGTGGTGGTGTGTGTACTGGTGCAGTGGTGATGTGGTGGTGGTGGTGTGTGTACTAGTGCAGTGGTGATGTGGTGATGGTGGTGTGTGTGCTAGTGCAGTGGTGATGTGGTGATGGTGTGTGTATTAGTGCAGTGGTGATGTGGTGATGGTGGTGTGTGTACTAGTGCAGTGGTGATGTGGTGGTGGTGTGTGTACTAGTGCAGTGGTGATGTGGTGATGGTGTGTGTACTAGTGCAGTGGTGATGTGATGGTGTGTGTACTAGTGCAGTGGTGATGTGGTGATGGTGTGTGTGTGCTAGTGCAGTGGTGATGTGGTGGTGATGGTGTGTGTACTAGTGCAGTGGTGATGTGATGGTGTGTGTACTAGTGCAGTGGTGATGTGGTGATGGTGTGTGTGTGCTAGTGCAGTGGTGATGTGGTGATGGTGTGTGTGCTAGTGCAGTGGTGATGTGGTGGTGGTGTGTGTACTGGTGCAGTGGTGATGTGGTGGTGGTGGTGTGTGTACTAGTGCAGTGGTGATGTGGTGATGGTGGTGTGTGTGCTAGTGCAGTGGTGATGTGGTGATGGTGTGTGTATTAGTGCAGTGGTGATGTGGTGATGGTGGTGTGTGTACTAGTGCAGTGGTGATGTGGTGGTGATGGTGTGTGTACTAGTGCAGTGGTGATGTGGTGGTGATGGTGTGTGTACTGGTGCAGTGGTGATGTGGTGGTGATGGTGTGTGTACTAGTGCAGTGGTGATGTGGTGATGGTGTGTGTACTAGTGCAGTGGTGATGTGGTGGTGATGGTGTGTGTACTAGTGCAGTGGTGATGTGGTGATGGTGTGTGTACTAGTGCAGTGGTGATGTGGTGGTGATGGTGTGTGTACTAGTGCAGTGGTGATGTGTTGGTGATGGTGTGTGTGCTGGTGCAGTGGTGATGTGGTGATGGTGTGTGTACTAGTGCAGTGGTGATGTGATGGTGATGGTGTGTGTACTAGTGCAGTGGTGATGTGGTGATGGTGGTGTGTGTGCTAGTGCAGTGGTGATGTGGTGATGGTGTGTGTATTAGTGCAGTGGTGATGTGGTGATGGTGGTGTGTGTACTAGTGCAGTGGTGATGTGGTGGTGATGGTGTGTGTACTAGTGCAGTGGTGATGTGGTGGTGATGGTGTGTGTACTGGTGCAGTGGTGATGTGGTGGTGATGGTGTGTGTACTAGTGCAGTGGTGATGTGGTGATGGTGTGTGTACTAGTGCAGTGGTGATGTGGTGGTGATGGTGTGTGTACTAGTGCAGTGGTGATGTGTTGGTGATGGTGTGTGTGCTGGTGCAGTGGTGATGTGGTGATGGTGTGTGTACTAGTGCAGTGGTGATGTGATGGTGATGGTGTGTGTACTAGTGCAGTGGTGATGTGATGGTGGTGGTGTGTGTACTAGTGCAGTGGTGATGTGGTGGTGGTGGTGTGTGTGCTAGTGCAGTGGTGATGTGATGATGGTGGTGTGTGTGCTAGTGCAGTGGTGATGTGGTGGTGGTGATGTGTGTGCTTGTGGTATTGGTGATGTGGTGGTGGTGGTGTGTGTGTGTTGATAGAGGGTGGAGGGAATCAGGGGTGCATTTCCTTTGTAGAGTAATTTTGACTAAAAAACTACTTGGCTCTGGAAACTTGCTAGAAGAATATTTTAGAAGTACATCTGTGCATTGAGTACTGCATATTTTAAGCAACAAATCAACCTGTAACGTGCATTGCAGCAGAATTTATTAAAAGAGAGGTGCACGTGGTATGTAGAGAAACATTAGTGGGACTTAATGAAATGAAAGAAATAGAAAAATATTCATTTTCTGACAGTATTTATAGGTTTTTAAGGCCCTGATTGCCATTGCTTTGTGAGTTTCCTTCTTTCTGATTGATGATGTGTCCCGGATTTGGTTCCTTTTCCCCACATGCAATTTCAGATGTTTTTCACTGGAGGAATATGGATTGATAATATACAGGAAAGTAAAAACACACAGGAGAATTTTAATACACAATGAAAAGAATTCAGTTGTAAGTGATCTGAAAGCCCAGTCCTCTCACCCACTCTTTGATTTAACAGCTCCCAGTCTATTAAGACTTTGCTTTACTCAAGGATTTCGTGTTAATCATCTTTTGTTTTATAGCCCTTTATTTTCCTGCTGGAATCAATATCCCATCAACTTCACCCACCGGCTACTCTGTGATCTATGAGATGGTGCTAGTACAGGACTGAATTTATACCAGAGCAATTTGCCTTAAATGTTACCAGCTCTTTATCCAAAACATTTCTTCCAGCTTATTCTCATAATTTTACTACTTCTCGCAAAGCTGCTTCTCTGCTTTTAGAGAGTAGAGAGTGGCAAGTGAAATGTAAAATGCCTGGAGAGAGGATATAAGAGGTTGGGCTTGGAAGCACAGAAGTTAAATCCGCGAAGTGATGTCAGTCAACAGGAGAAGTGTTGGCTGTTTTCACACTGTGTGGCTGCTCGTGACACAGACTTGATGAATTCATTTCCACCTTGCTGGCAAAACCAATTTGTTTCAGTGAGACCACATTTCAGAGCAGTTTGGATCCTGCTGGTATATTCAGATTGCCTGAAAATCAAGCAAAAGTAATCAGTTTGGTGCCCTGTATCGTAGGACGATCTCGCACCCCTTTCCTTCCCTAGGGTTACCCTCATTTGGCTGGGTGGACGTTGTCCTTCAGATCATTTGTATAAATCCAACTTGCACATCACAGGGGTCTCTAAGTTCTTTGCAAATATTAATTTAGAACTTAAAAGTGCATTATCCCCCTTTAAAAATACATTATCCGAATTGTGATGCCAGCATTTTAAATACAGTAAATGATTAGTTACTTCACTTAATCTTGTCACTGAATATAATTGCAGTCACTGAGAGCTGGACATTGATCTACGTTCTTGATGCCTGTTAAGACATTTTATCTCATAAAAGGATGTTACTGGTAATTATGACACCTTGTGCTTTTCAATAGTTACATTTATTTTAAAAGACACTGTTTTCTTCTTAAATGGAATAATTTCCTTTCAACGTGGGAGGAGGTCTGGTTCCCAGTGTCCACATGAGGCAAATATACAGGCAGCTCTCTGTGTCCACAGGCTCCCCATCTGCAGGTGGTTGAAGCCAGATGGAAAATAGTACAGTTGACCCTCCATGTCTGTGAGTTTCTATCCAAGGATGAGAAACCCATGCATAGGGAGGGCTGACCGTATTTTAATTTGTTTCAAGATGTCTTTTTCCATTCTGTTTTGAGTATTTAATAAAACAGTCAAAAAGCAAATTTAATATCTGTGCAAACTCATTTTCTTGTGAAATTGCTTAGACTTGGTCCTTTAAGGGAATATTTGGAGAAGCTAATGTTAGAGGTCAGAATCTAAGAAGACTTTTGGTTTTAGCTTTCTTCGTTGTAAAATGGGAGTAGTAATTCCTGTCCTCATGTCTTCTCAGGGCTGCATGGAAATATGAAAATGCTTTAAAAATGAAATTAATACACAGATTCAGACTTACTTTAAAGAGAGTGAAGTATATGAGCGTTCTATAGGACAAGGAACATGACAACATATATAGTCCACTTCTGATGTTAAAAATTATTGCAGGACTGTGTTAATTACACTTCTACGGACACCTTCTAACTTCAACCATGTCTTTTTTCCCATGTGACTCTTCTTAGAACTTGGTCTGTCTATAAGAATATTCCTTTTGTAGTTGTTTCTCTACTTATCACCCTCTTAACTCTACAGTTTTTGAATAATATATTACAGCTTGTCATATCTGGTGGTCAGAGGCAGACGGTGCTTAAACAGGCAGTTGACATCCAATTACTCTCTGAGCATCCGAGCCCACTAGGTGTCTGGCATGGCCACCCTGGGGGATAGTCCCCCTTTCTGGAACAGACGGTTGCTTTGTAAGAGGGTTTCGTCTTTCCCTGGAGCATCGTGCGGACTAGATTAGGCCACCTGCAGAGTCTCTGCCAAAGCTCATTCATTTCTGACCTGGCACCCAGCAAAGTCCTCACAGACACCATGAGGATGACTCCCAACTAGAAATGAGTCTATTTGGTGAAGGTTTTGTCTCTCAGTAATAAAACATGGAGGAAGCTAGAGCTATTTATTAGGTAGCAATTACTCAAAGGCAGTGTCACACATTTATAGGAAAACTTGTAAATCTAAGGAAAAGTGATTTGCCCGCAGTGGGAATAAATTAAACAGAGATTGGAAACATCGTTTCCTCCTTTTCTGCCTTACTTTTTGTATTTTATAAGAGGTTAAAAATGGCTCTAAAGTATTACTTGTGAGTGTTTTATTTTTACCGGCAAAAAGAAGTTTTAACCACATGTGAAATTTCACCACTTACTAATGACGTCTACCTTTGAAGCAAAACTCTTTCATTGAAGGCATGAATTATATTATGGATATGATGTTGTGCTACATCAACGTGAATTTTTGACACACTAATTTATAATGACTGGGAAATGAGAAGACCATAGGGGAAAGATAAGACTGGCATCCAGACAGCTAAAATGCAGAAGGATGATTGATTTAAAGATCGGCTTTAAGGAAAGAATTATTTTTAAAATGTGTATTTAAATGTGAGTAGGCAGACCATGATTACTTTTTAGACTGCCAGAACAATGAGGTTGAGGATCGGGTGATTTGGGACAGTTCGGACTTATCCTGATTTGACTGTGAACCTAGCAAAAATAACAAAAGCAAAACCAAAAACAGATCATCCGAGGACATGGGTATCAGCAAGGCCGCTGGGCTCGGGCAGGGCTGCCCAATGTCAGCTGTGCAGTGTGGTAGCTTGTCTCCTGAGACGGTCCACAACATTCCACCTCTCTCCGCATATGCTTCCTGCCCATCCTGTCAAAAGACAGAACAGATTTCCCGTCACTAGAATCCAAGCTGGCCTTGTGACTGCTTTAGGATAGAATGTGACAGAGATGGCATTTGGAGCTCCTAAGCCTAAGCCTTAAGTGACAGCCACTTCATTTCTCTTGGAATGCTTGCTCTTGAGATCCTCAGTCTTGGGAACCTGTCTCCATACTGTAAGAAGTCCAAGACGCAGGGAGAGGCCATGTAGAAGCGAATGGAAATGCTCCCTTAGATGCCCTGGATGAGCTCACAGCTGATGGCCAGCACCAATGCCAATCACATGAGTGAAGCATTTCGCGTATTTCAGCCCAGTTGAACCCCAGACAACCACAGCTTCAGATGCTATCACATGGAGCAGAACCCACAGAATTGGAGAAGGTGCTGGAGGATTGCTTCTCTCTAAAGAGAACCTTTTCTCATTCCCTGAAGGGCCCTTGTAGACTGGTCATGGCTCTCGGTGTTCGAGCAAATCAGGTTACAAGTTATGTCACCAGATAAGGATTCTATGTATCTAAAGTTTACCAGCTCACAGTGAGCTTGTGCCTTCCTATTTTTCTTTAAAAGAGATTTTTGCATTTTTGGTGGGTGACTGGGAGTGTGCTGTGCTGTTGACAGCTCAGGGAGACATGGCGCCAGGGAGGTTCAAGTGCGGAAGGTCAGAAGGTAGACATTGTTGCTCAGATGGAGGCATCTCCTCAGTTCCGCAGAAAACGGTGTTGCTTGTGGAAGTGACAGTGGGTGAGATTTTGTCACAGAGATCTAAAGGAAACTCGATCTTTGTTTAAGCAGGAATTATCCTGCTTTCATGTTCTATTTCATGTGGCAAAGAAATGCAGGCTTTGTCCAAAAGCTACTTATAAACTTGTGCTTTGTGTTAGTTTTACATTTTATGTGTTTATGTTATATTTTAGCTTTTTGACATATTTTATTTTAGGTTTTTTCTTTTAAGCCAGTTTATTTGTCAGCTGTCTGACAGCAATAACCACAGGACAGCCCTTAAGAAATTGGGGGTAGGCTTTACCTGGCATAATTTCAGGTTGCAAGAAACCTCTCCCCAAAATAATCACCACCTACCTTTTGGACCCGGAAATTCTGTTGAAAGAGTTCCATTGCATTTCTTTAAAGTGTTTATCCTGCTAGAACACAAGATTTAGAATAGTAAGACATTTTCTTTATTTAAACATTAAATTCAGTACATCTTCAGCTTCCCTTTTGAAAATACATAAAGATACCAGGTATCTGAAGAGAGAAAGTAAAAGGTTCACCAAAAATCTGAAAAGAAGTTTTAAGTTCCTGAAACAAAACTCTAAAACTTCATAGAATTGAAAAGAGGAGGTTATTATAACTTGCCTATGAATTCAGAGAAAACAATAGCATTCCCACTGCCTAAAAAAATCGTGTGTTGTGTTTACGCTAGAAACTTTATCCTCTATAGAAATAAATTTTGTTCTATTTTGACAGTCTAGAAATATCTGTGAATTAAAAACACAATTTTGAAAAAATATGATGTGAAAATATGTTTTATAATCTCACTCTGTGCATAATTTTAGCTAAAGAAAATATTCCTTTATATTTTAAACTGACAAAAATATTGCATTTTTCACAGTTCTATTTAGCTTTTTTCCTGATCAAATCGGTGATCATGCTTTTATATGTAAATCTGTAGTTTATTTTTCAAATGTTTAATTTGCTCCTTACCTGTATTTTTTTCTTGTTAAAGATTATTTGAAAGCATCATAAAATTTATTTTATTTATTCATAGACCACTCTAATATTTTCAGAAATTACAGGTTGCGATAAAACCACCAAATTATACAACACATGTAAGGGAAAGACAGAAATTAAAAACAACAACAACAACTTTGATTTGGAAATAGTTTCACATTTAAAGAAAAATTACTAAAATAAGAATAGTACATAGGACACCTGATTACCCAGATTAATCTACTTTTAGCATTATTTTCCTTTTTCTCTCTTATTTGCTTTTTTCTCTCTCTTTTTACTTTTGCCCTCTCTATTTTTATGTATGTTTTATGCATATTTTAATTTTTTCTTGATATTTTTGTCCTGTACTATTTCAGAGTAAATTGCATTCATCATGGCCCTAAAACTTCAGTGTGTATTTTTGAAGAATAAGGATATCTCTTTAGAACAGTTAATGTTGCTACAGTGATCCTGTCCAACTACCATCAGCGTTCCATTTTTGTCAACTGACCCCATAAAGTCCTTCCCAGCCTTTTTTCTTCCTCCAGTACATGATCCAGTCTAGGAAGAGATTGTCATGCGTTTTTCTAGCCTCCTGGAACATTTCAGAAGCCTATTTTTGCCTTTTATGACGTGGACACTTTGAAGAATACAGTCCGTTTCAGAAAGAGAGACGGTTTCTCATTTTGAATTTGTCCAACGGGTCTGCCTGGTTTGTGTTTGTCCGACGGCTCTGCATGGTTTGTGTTTGTCCGACGGGTCTGCGTGGTTTGTGTTTGTCCGACGGCTCTGCCTGGTTTGTGTTTGTCCGACGGCTCTGCGTGGTTTGTGTTTGTCCGACGGGTCTGCGTGGTTTGTGTTTGTCCGACGGCTCTGCGTGGTTAGATTCAGGCTCCTCATTCTGGGCCAGAAGTGATGTGTGTTTTTCTCTAGGGGCACGGGATGTCCATCTGTTCTTCAATGTTGATGGTAACTTGAATCACTTTAATCTCTGGGAGACCATGCAAATCACACGAAAATCTCCCCCTAGATTTGGCCTCTGTTGGTTACTGAACTGAAGTTTACCGTGGTGGCTGCGAAGTGACAGTTGCTTCTTCACGTTTCCCAGTTGACGCTTAGCGTTCTACTATTAGTGAGATCCTTCTTTTCCCTGCACTGATTTGTTTACCTATTGATTATTGGCATGGACTCATTAACAAGATCTTGTAAATGGTCTGTAATTTGTTACTGTCCTTAATTATTTTGGTGTTCAAATTATCCCCTATTGGGCCTGCAGGAGCACCTTTCAGCTGCCTCCTGAGTCTGCATGACGTGCCCCTGCTTTGGAATCTACCTCAGGCTGAAAAGCCAGGGGCTAGAGAGGTGGAAATGAGTTTTCTAAATTTCTTTCACTTTATTAGCATATCTGTGACCAGCCTGGATCACAGAGGGGTATTGTGAGTCATAGGATGGAGGGAACCAGAGTCCGATCTTAGGGAAGTCCTTTCCCTGCTGCAGAGGAGGTGGAGAACCCTTACATCATGGCCAGGCATTGCAGCAGGTAAGGGAGAGAGAGACAGGTAGACACAGACAAGCATCGCAGCCGGGTAAGGGAGAGAAAGGCAGGTAGACACAGCCAGGCATCGCAGCAGGTAAGGGAGAGAGAAGCAGGTAGATGCAGCAGGTAAGGGAGAGAGAGGCAGGTAGACACAGCCAGGCATCGCAGCAGGTAAGGGAGAGAGAGGCAGGTAGACACAGCCAGGCATCGCAGCATGGTAAGGGAGAGAGAGGCAGGTAGATGCAGCAGGTAAGGTAGAGAGAGGCAGGTAGACAGCGGATGAGCATCGTGGCTCCCACTCCCGGCTGAAATCTCACAGAGGAGGCGAGGCTGAGGGACAGCGCGTGGCAGGAGGCCTGTTCTCCTGTGCACTGTTTTGAACGTTGGTGGGATGGGGCCGTGATCACAGAGGGAATGTGCTATGGCAGGGCAGAGGGAGCCTGGTTAGCCTGCTGGGGCCCTGAGGGCACAGGGGAGGTCCCCGGTCACCAGCTCTGCTGGGAGCTGAGGCCTTTCTTGCAGGGGCCACCGTGGTAAATGGGTGTGACCCTGCTGCAAAGGTCACACCACAAACAGCCCTCCAGGAGACAGACATGGCCACAGAAGAGATCTGGGGTGAGGTGGTGGGGAAAGGGCCCACAGCCGCACAAGGCACTGTCCCAGAAAATAAAGTAAAGACAACCTCACCAGGCATGCCTTAGCAGAATCTTCCAGGTCCCAGGAAACGTGGCCAGCTGGTGGCTCTGCAGCAGAAATTAGTGAAGACTCAAAGGACCCATGCAGACTCAAAGCCTCTTCCTCACATCACATATGCCTGTTGCCTGGGCCATTGCTGTGGATACCTGAAAGTCAGAATGTTTACCCCAAGAGACACAGCCAGTTGCTACGAGACTTTTTGAAGTGTAAGAGAATGAGACACCATTAAATGGAAAGTTGAAAGGGTTTCACTCCAACTCCCTCTGGTAGCCAGCCCCGTGAGGCTGGGTGAGAGGGTCAATTAGTCATAGAAAACGAGATGCCACTTTTTCTTTGCCTGAGTAAAAGTGTGTATGACTTTTGATTCCATTAAATACTCTTTGGCCGAGAGATCACTCCAGAATTCTGGCAGGCAGTCTCTCTCACTGGACAGTCTCCTACTCTGGGGCTCTGATGGCTGCGCCCGCTAGTTTTGCAAACCCGAAAGTCATACAGTTATGCCCATCGCCCACGCTGTGTTACGAGGCTCCGTGGAGAGTCCCATGTATGCATTTTTAAGTTTTCCCAGGTACGTTGTCTGGAGTATTCAGTTTTGTGTGAAATAGACTTGGTCCCAAACTATGTGAACCCGGGAGAATTAACTGTAATTGGTTCAGGGAGATAAAACATGTCTGCCCAGGGGTTGATGATTTTGAAAGGGTATTTCTTATCCTGGGCCAGACAGACATGAATCATCAAATAGGTATACAGCGTGGTGTCCTTATTTCTGACCATCGAATCCAGATGTCGGCTCTGACCAGTGGTTCCAGGTTTCTGCTCAGTCTCACTGGGTTAATAATAATTACTAACATTTGGATGGAGCGTTAAAGTTTCACGGCACCTTCTTGTGCATTGATCACATTAGATGGTGGTGCTGGGCATGAATGATATGTGCCTTCACCTGCCGACCCAAACACCCTGCCAATAGGGTTTTGTCTCTTTCTAAGAATTTCTTCAAATTCTTTGAGTAGCTGATTCAGCTACTCAAAGCTATTTTAGAATAAGACAGAAAATGAATAAATAGAGAGACGTTTGGTCTTTCTTGTCTAGAAGATTCAATTCCCTGTTTATGGTCATAGAAGATAAACTGTAGCTGGTATTGGGAGGTGCTGTTCCTCTAACCTGACTATCTAAGACTGTTCTTTTCTTTGCTATGAAAATGAAGGAAAATATTATTGTCCCAATTAAAGATATAAATATACACAAGCAAAGAAGAGGCTAAATGACATATCTGAAGTCTCACTTTGAAGAATGAGCAATTAAAACTCTGGGTCCAGCTCACTTTTCCAGAGTAAAAATTTTTTTGAAAGCCTTATAATTCATAGACACGTCTGAAAAAGCTGAATCTTCCGTGCTGGTCTGCATTCCAATAGGTGGCTAAAACTGGTCAGAATTTGAAGGAGTCCCATTCATCAAATCTATTTTTAGAAGTGCATTAGCATGTGGCTTTGCAAACTCACCTTCATTCTTATGAAAAGCAGTCAGTGCTGCCATGAAAATACTGTCACGATTTACTGCCTCCTCATGAGACCCAGGGCTAAGCCAAAGGGATACCATGCACCCTAAACCTCCTCATAGCTGCTGCCTCTGAAACTCGACTCTGTAATTTGGTAAGTATTTTAAAAAATACAACTAAATGGCTACCACATGGTGGAAAATTAGCAATCTGGGACTAGAACTTCTATGTGGTATTAAATCCACATATGGAAAAAATTAAATATTATCCTCAATGCCCTCCATGTGTTCAGTTGTATTAAATGAAATGCTTATAAAGCGTGACATTATTTAACTTTTATAAGGTTTGTCACATCTAGTAAAACTTATGACTGTTCTTTTGAAAAACTTTATGCAGGTGCCTTCTGAGCCCACATCAGTCTGGATGTCTTATAACATACATGTGATTTGTTACTGGATATAGCACTAGACAATCAACAGTAGAATTCCAACCAGGATAACTTAATATATCACAAAATGCAGTCACTGGTAGTAGGCAATGCTGTGGTAGGTTGGTCCACAATAATCTCCCTTTCTATAGAAAGGGTTTTATGAAACATGCAGGGTGTGAGATGTACCATAAATTGTTTTGACAAAACTGACTCTAATATAAATGGCTCCAAGTCTCTTGTATTTCTGAAATTTAAATGACACAGCCACGTGATCTTTGCAATCTGCCTTTGGGAATGTAACAGGGCTGCTGAACAAATACCCTATTCCTATTGATGCTGCTGACAATAACAAGAACTTTGGGGGGAAATTTGCCACCTTAACTTGGTTTACTTTGACCCAGGGAGGTATTTCCTGAGCCCAAAGTCTAGTTTCTCAATTTGCTGGGGGCTGACTCTGGTGCTAGATGCTTTAGAACTGAGATGGTCCTTCAGAGTTCAAAGTCATCGTCTCTCTCTGGTTCAACAGTGTGGTTTACACCCCGTTGGTGTCCAAACCGCCTGGAAGATTCTTTAACACAGGAGATCTGGTCTCCATCCTAGACCTACTGCAGCTGTATGTATACGAAACTCTGCAGGTGATTTGTAGTCAGTCTAAAGTGAAGACTCTCTGACAGTCTGAAGTCCATTGGCTAGACAGAAAAAAAACCAAGCCTGAGAAGGTGATCACGTGTCCCCACTATATACAGCTAGACCGTGCAGAACATAAGGCTGCATTATTATCCAGTGATCACGGGGGGTTTTAGCTGTACAAATGTGACCCACATAGAATTCAGTCCCTTGTTCCTGGGATAAAATAAGTTGCTAAGCTGGATTGAATAACCTACCATAATGGGAGGTCCATGCTAGAATGTGTCATCTCAACATGTTCATTCTTTTTTTTTTTTTTTTTTTTTTTTTGAGACAGAGTTTCACTCTTGTTGCCCAGGCTTGAGTGCAATGGCACAATCTTGGTTCACTGCAACCTCCACCTCCCGGTTTCAAGTGATTCTCCTGACTCAGCCTCCCGGGTAGCTGGGATTACAGGTGCTGCCCCCACCACACTCAGTGAATTTTTGTATTTTTAGTAGAGATGGGGTTTCACCATGTTGACCAGGCTGGTCTGGAACTCCTGACCTCAGGTGATCTACCCATCTCAGCCTCCCAGAGTGCTGGGATTACAGGCATGAGCCACCGTGCCCAGCCAACATGTTCATTCTTGAATCTCCACCTGGGAGGCAATGAGAAGGACACCTGACTTTGCTGAGACTTGATACCTAGAGGTCTCAACTCACCACAGAATTTATGCCATGTCCTTTTAAATTCCAGTCTTGGAGAGCTTGTTTAACCATGGGTCAAAAGAGTTTGTCCTGTTATATTTGTAATAGATCAAACTCTTAGGCAGTTTAAAAGGTATACTTGGTTTCATACAGAACATAGCAAATTTGCCAAGCCCAGTTCTTCCATGTAAATAACATGACTGAAGTCCATTTTATTGTCACATACTGTGAGGCAATGTGTGATGGAAAAATGTTTCAGGTTCTGGTGAAACAATCTTACTTCACAGGAAATACCTGGGATGAAGTCTCACCTTGAGACAAGCTAGAAAGAGTCAGTGACTATGTCTAAAGAAAAAGAAGGCATTTCCAAGGAGATCTTGAGTTTCTCAGGCAGGCCGACTCCTCTCATTGCATGTTGCTGCGTTCTCAGTGATAATGTCATTCTGGCTCATGTTACAATATCTTTGGTTCTCTGGGTCTAGATTTTTCCATACGGCAGCAAACTGCTTTAGGCAGCTCATAGATGATCAAAGGAACAACAAGCTGCTAAATGTAATGTAACTACCTGTAAATGTCAATGTTTTCTCAAATAAGTGTTTTTTTCCTTTAGTTCCAAATTTTGCACTGTACACTAATGTTACTTGGGAGGTGGCATAATAGTGTCTGATGAGAGAATTCCTGCAGCTACTTATTCTATATTTTCACAACAATTCTCCACAAAGCAGTGGTAAAAGTCCATGGACAGTGTAGTTTCACCCCACAAGAGCATTTCTTTTTGCTGTTGTCTGTAGAATTTCTTCCTTGTGTGTCCTCTTATGAAGAGTGACCATTAACTCTTCATGTTTCACTGTCTTAGACGTTCCTATAGGATCACTAGATCTGGGATCCTACAGATCACTAGAACTGGGAGACAATCTTTTTCTTTCCCTAACAACATCTCAGGCTGAGTTTTTTACTATTAAAATATTGTCATTTTTTGGCCACTACTGACAAAATATGAGTCCTTACCCACCATCAGCCAAGAGTCAGTAGTTTTCAAAAAGATTAATAAAATGCATGATCCTTTTGTTTATTTATATTTCTCATTGAGAGTACAGATGGGTAGCTCTTGGATTTTGGAATCAACTATATTTTCTATTAAAATATGCTGTTCCAGTTGACAGGATTGTCGACCGTCTGGTTTTGAATGTTACAGTTGGCCCTTGATTTGCTTTAGTCAGTGAAGGAGAGATGGGTGCTTGGTCCAGTTGGATTAGTCTGTGGCTTCCTTCTCTGCATCATGAATGTTGGCAGGATTGGGCTTTGGCATGACTTCCTGGGGCAGTATGAGTGTTGGGCACAGGGGAGCTGTTGTATTAAACAAAGCTGTGCCTCAGAGCAGGGTGCCTTCTGCCTGGCTTAGAGCCCTACCAACAATCTTTCTGCCATCTGGCTCCAGTGAGGGCTGAAAACCTCAGTTCACAGCCCAAGTGAAATCTGCATGGGCCAATGACAGAGACACTTGAAAGAAAGAAAGTCAGAAACGACAGACTTGCTTCTTCACTAGTAATTGGAGAATACTAATTAGGAAAATAATGAAATAGTGCAAAAGTTATCTTGATTGACAAGATTAGGATTATTTGTTGATTAATCAACAGTCACTTGATACGTAAAATGTAGGTGCTAGTGTGTGTATGTATATATATATAAATATAGGCATACATATTTATGCATGTAAATACCTATTATACACATCCATTATTTGAACTTTAAAAGTGTACACATATATTGGTTTGCCAATCTTTTAAATTAATATGTAACATTTGTACGTATTTATGGGGCACCTGGGACATTTTGCTACATGCATGGAATGTGCAATGGTCAAGTCTGGGTATTTAGAGCATCCACCACCTTGAATATTTATCATTTCTATGTGTTAGGAACATCTCAAGTCGTCTCTTCCAGCTCATTAGAAACATACAATAGATTGTTGCTAACTTTTCACATGGAGCCAAGGCCTTTTCTGTCATGGTGGGATGGCTGATTGTAATCCTAATTGTCTTCCTTCCAGAAAGCACAACTCTAATGCATTATCCATTTCTTTCAAATGGAGTGAGAATTTAAAGATACTTGCAGAGTGTCCTGAAGGCAAAACCCTTATGGAGTTTTACGTAATTTTGTAACTATTTTTAATAGGAACTCACCCTTCTGAGCTATTTCAAAATAATCACTTCGGTTTTTTAATGAATAGGAAACAATAAATTTCTTTGTGCACTCTTACTCGAGTTTCAGTAATAGTTCTTTAGATAATTACGATGGCAACTGTCCTAAATGGGCTTGGTACTGACTCATGGTACCCAAACAGCACCTGGGAGGGGAGAGGGGAGCACGTATCCTGGGGTGCTTGGGACCCAGAAGCAGCATTATTCAGCATGCTTTGCAGAGGAAGTGGGAGCTTGGCTAACTGGGGGAGCTGGCCTCAGAGAAAGTCAGCTAAAAGAGTTTCTACTGTTCTCAAGAGGAGGAAACTGATGTCTACCAACTATTTTTGTGGTAGGGACCCACAGCCTAGAAAAGTAGTGAGCTAAGGAGGGTCAGTATGAATCTATATGCTGGGATTTGTGGCTCTTCCGTGACTCATACCCATTAAGGGCCTCTCTTAGGGATACGTAAAAATGACTCTAGTTATAATTAACTTACTCCAAACAGTAGGCTCTGAATGTGCACAAGCTGCTGCAACTTCTGTGACACACATGAGCCTGGCCAGGTGGGAGAGGCTAGGATATGGAATGGGTCAGGGCCAGCATTCTTGGACCTTGCTCATCCCTGCCAGTCTTACTCGGAGAGTAAGCTCCAGTTTCCCTTTGCCTTTCTATATATATTGCTACACATACACACACACAAATTGAGACTTGACAGCCACATTAAAAAAAGATATTAGTTGAGGAACAGAGCTGGAGTCCAACATCTGGTTTTGGTAAAGTCTGGCCTTTGTGCCCAATTTTACAGCTAAGCTGACTGAAGTACCACGAACTCATGAGTTGTGTAGGGTCAGCGTGTCAGGCAATAGCTCAGCTGCCATATGATCCCCCAACCCTCGTAACTTTCAGCCCCATATTTTAACTATTAAGCCACATGGCCTGCTATAGAATATGCCACAAAACACCCCAGATGTGTGTTGAGAGAGATCCTTCCATGACCCAGGTAACATCACGTCCCTGTAGGACTTTCTGATGATTGGATGTTCCTGGTGACCTCTCCTGCAGTGTAAGCGCATTAACCCAAATGTTATGAGGATTTCCCCACAGGACAGTCTTATAAGATTTTCTTATGAGGTCACTTCCTAGGAAGGCAGGGATTTAAAAGCTGCCACAACAGGCAATGAAGCAAGCAACATGTGGCTTTGCTTTCAGTCTGTCATTTTAAGCAATGAAGAATTTATACGGATAAGTTTTCTGATAATGGAAAAAGTTTCTGATATAGCTGATGGAGTGTTTTTTTTTGTTTGTTTATAGGCTTTGGATTCACCTTGAAAACATCCCCTCTGAACATCAGAAGTCCACTTGGTCCCCGAACAGTGTATTAACTTCTAACATTTCTGACTTCCAGTCATGGAGATTTCAAAACCAATTGCATATAGCAATGAAGCTTTTCACTTTTAATGGAACATTTAGGAGAAGGGCGGCTTTTCCTATTTTCTGTGTTATCTTCAGCCTGTTAACTGTTGTCAGCCCTGGAGAGAAACCATCCCTTCTCCTTAAAAACATGAACCACATACTAAGTTGCTTCTTGCCTCTTAAAGATTCAGGTCACTCAGGTACATCAGACTGAGACAGGACGCTCAGGTACATCATACTGAGACAGGACACTCAGGTACATGATACTGAGACAAACACTCAGGTACATCATACTGAGACAGGACGCTCAGGTACATCACACCGAGACAGGACATGTTGATTGTTGGTGTGTATTTCTCCCAAGCCACCACTCAAACCAGTGTTTGATTTCCATGGAGGTTGGCTGATGGCTTTTAGCTTGAGCCCCAACAGTGTGACTTCATACAAGGCAATTTCTTCAGAAATATCATGGAACTTCAGGGACATTATATTATTAAATTAAAAAAACCTAATATGTTAATTTTTTCATTAAAGTTTATGAGTTTACTGAGTTTTTCTTTTCCAAAATAGTTAATGAGCTTTTGAGTCATGTTTTTTATGAAAGGATTGACTTTCTCATGGCGTCCAACTCTGTAGATAATCATCCGAAACAGATTTGACTGTATTTGTTTAACAAAAGTCTGCCTAAACCAAACTCTGCCCTGAATTTTTTGTTTTCCACACGTATGTGCTAAATCTGTGTAATTTGGTAGTTTGTCTCTCCAGAACCACTGTTGGTCTTGTGTCACTAATCAGCAGAGGCAGCAGTCTGACGGGTCCACAGAGACAAGGGAGGCAGCGGGAGGAATGCAGTGGCCAGGCAGGTGAGGGACCTCAGGACCAGCAGCTCAGCCGCATCCTTGCATGCAGTGGCCAGGCAGGTGAGGGACCTCAGGACCAGCAGCTCAGCCGCATCCTTGCATGCAGTGGCCAGGCAGGTGAGGGACCTCAGGACCAGCAGCTCAGCCGCATCCTTGCATGCAGTGGCCAGGCAGGTGAGGGACCTCAGGACCAGCAGCTCAGCCGCATCCTTGCATGCAGTGGCCAGGCAGGTGAGGGACCTCAGGACCAGCAGCTCAGCCGCATCCTTGCATGCAGTGGCCAGGCAGGTGAGGGACCTCAGGACCAGCAGCTCAGCCGCATCCTTGCATGCAGTGGCCAGGCAGGTGAGGGACCTCAGGACCAGCAGCTCAGCCGCATCCTTGCATGCAGTGGCCAGGCAGTTGAGGCACCTCAGGACCAGCAGCTCAGCTGCATCCTTCTCTTTTCCCAAGGTCGCACTGAGCAAGTCAGGATGGTGAAGAAAGTCTCCATCTCCAAACTGAACACAGGATTTGTTGAGGTGGCCTCCTGGAGCCTAAGTGTGTTTGGGGTGATATCTACAAACTTCCATCACTGCTTCACTGGTGGCCTTTGGAGAATCACCATTTTTTTTCGGTCTTGTTCTGTGGGATATATTCTGAAAAAATAGGACAAATGCTAAAATAGCGATGTCAAATTTAAGTTTTTCATAGAAATAGCATAGTAGGGAACTATACTCATTTTTATAAGGAATACATTTAATCGTTACTCTTTCCCTTCCTTTTTTCTTTCCTTAAGAAATATTGAACGTTGATTATGTACAAAGAATAGAATATGATGGGAAACAATACAAGTACCTTATTACATATCGCATAGTATAAATCTTTAAATTGTGACTATAAATTAAACAGAGCCCCTTGATGTCATGGCTCATGCCTGTAATCCCAGCACTTTGGGAGGCCAAGGCAGGTGGATCACTTGAGCCCAGGAATTCAGGACTAGCCTGGGCAACATGGCAAAACCCTGTCTCTACAAAATGTACAAAAATTAGCCAGGCATGATGGCTCACGGCTTCAGTCCCAGCTACGTGGGAGGCTGAGGAAGGAGGATCACTTGAGCCCTGGAGATTGAGGCTGCAGTGAGCCATGACTGTGCCACTGCACTCCAGCCTGGGCAACAGAGTGAGACCTGTCTCAATCAATCAATCAATCAATCAATCAATAAAACAGAGCAACTCAGCAATAATTATATATTTAATTATTCTAAGTATTATATTATGTTTAATAATATAATTATATTTAAATATTATATATTATGTAACACATCAAAGTGTATCATATGAAGTTTTTTGTCTCCATCAGTCTCTCTTATTTTGATAGTAATGATAAAACACTGGCCCAACTTAATCCTCAGAATGTGTTTATTGAATTAAATGGTAGCCATGGAATTCAGAAGAACTTATTTGAAGAGCTTTAAAAGAGAAATAACACTTATGATTTTCCCTATTACAAAAGTATTTGTTCATAGTAGAAAATTGGAAAATTCTGGGAAACATAAGGAATAAAAGAACAATCATGCCTAATTCTATCATTCAGAGATAGCAATTACTACTAATATTTTGGCATATTTTCTCTAGCCTGTGTGTGTGTGTGTGTGTGTGTGTGTGTGTGTGTATCTGTGTGTATGTGTGTGTGTACACAAAGAAAAAGCCAGAGGAAATGCCATTTTTTTATACAAATATAAAACAAAAATGAGATCTCACAATATACATTGCTTTTAGACATATTCTTAAAATTTATATCATGAGCATTTCTTTTTGTTAATAAAGTTTTATAAAACATGATTTTTAATGGGCTGCAGATTATTTCATTATATAAATGTGCATAATTTAACTAATCCCTTATTTTTGGTCATTAAGGTTATTTTAAAATTTTAGGCTGGGTGCAGTGGCTCCTGCCTGTAATCCCAGAATTTTAGGAGGCCGAGGTGGGTGGATCACCTGAGGTCAGGAGTTTGAGACCAGCCTGACCAACATGGTGAAACCCCATCTCTACTAAAAATTCAAAAATTAGCCAGGTGTGGTGGTGGGTGCCTGTAATCCCAGCTACTTGGGAGGCTGAGGCGGGAGAATAGCTTGAACCCAGGAGGCAGAGGCAGAGGTTGCAGTGAATCAAGATCGTGCCATTGCACTCCAGTCTGGGCAACAAGAGTGAAACTCCATCTCAAAACAAAACAAAACATTTTAACCAGTATATATAACTCCCAATTGAGTATCTTTATATATAAACTTTGTGTATGTTTTGACCATTTTTAGAATAAGTTCCTAGAAGAATTACCAGAGGTACCGAGCCAAAAAGGAATGAGCATTTTTCAAGCCTCCTAATTTCCCTCCAATATTAAGAGTGCATGAGAATAATTGCTACATCTTTTTAAACTTTGGATATCAAACTTTAGAATTATTGTTTTTGGGGAAGATTTAGGCAGATACTGTCTTTAGATTACAGAAATGTCAACAGAAGTGGTCTAAGAGAAGTTATACAGTATAAAATTTGACATCTGAATCTTGGAAAAATTTTCAGTTAAATTTATATGTGTTATTTACTTCATTAGTTGCAGTGTCCAGTTACACAAACTGATCAAACACGCAACGTCACTGAGTCACAGAGACTGACTCGAAACCCTCAAAGGTGGCCCAACCTCCTACCAAAAGATTAAGCCCCTCCTGTAACATTTCTTACCAAGGGTTATTTAGTTTCTGTTTAAACACTCCCAAGCCCTAGGCCTTCCTCACTTCACCAGGTGCTCCTTGAAGTTAGTTTTCACTTATGCAGAATAGGCTTGTGTAGGCTTACCCACCTCTGAGTCCTTGAAAGTGATCCAGACCGACTTCACAGCAAATGTACCATGTTGTGGGTTTACATTTCCCATAAGTTGTGTACGGTACATATTATCTTCATTCCATATTCTCAAATTTGCAATCAACTACGGACAATCCTAAAAGAACCTAGGAAATATTGGCACTGGACATAGGTCAGTTTCAAGCAATCTAATTATGGTGTTACACATGACTATGTTGGCTTCTAACAGTGGCTTTACCTCTGACCATGATGAATTTGCTACTGAAGAGAATGTCTTCTTGGATCGTATGCATTCCCTGGTGTATGATCCTGCAGCATGGATACTGAAATCATGCCACGTTCCCAGGTATCTAGAATTATTGGAAGGTACAGTGCTTTTGTAGGGTCAACAAACGTGATGGCTTCTTGTTTATGAGTTAGTGCTGCCATAATAATAGTACTCTGTGGTCATAAATTATTGCACAAATCTTATCTTCTTTGAATTTCTAAATAATCTTGTGAAGTAAATATAGTGATTATGTTGTTCTCGATATTATTAGGTATAAATACATATTCTCAGTTTTAAGGATGAAGAGGCCAAATTTCTGAAAAAGTCACACATCTAATTAATTTTAACTGATGGACAGTGCTTGAAAATCAAGAACAGATCTTCGAATTCCACATTCTGTGCTGTTTTTACCACTTAATTTAATATAATACCTTACCTCGCCCATCGTTTCTGACTTAATGCTTACTGATTTCAAATGATACTATGAAGTAAACACCTAAGAGTCCTGTATGAGTTTTATGATTTCTCTAATCCAAGGACTAGGTTAAAACAATCCTGTGGACTTTGACCAGATACAGTCCTTCAAAAAAAAAAAAAAAAAAAAGAAGTCTGCATTTTTGTGTTGTGTCCACACAGCCAAAATATTTCTTTTAATATTTGTGGAAATTTCATCAGCAGGAGAAAATAAGGGCCAAAACCTTTCTTATCGGATTCGATTGCTTGTCCCCCCTTATTAAAGAGGACACCAAAACCAGAGAAGCCAGTGACTGACAAATGGGAAGTGTATGCTGAAACGGGGCACCTTTGCTGTTGATGAAAAAAGAATAGGCCAAGTTGGAGAGGCCAAATATGACCCCATTTGTATCTAATTTGTATGTTTTTGATATCCATCTGCTGCACAATTACAAACGTTGGCATCTAGACTGTGGAAGAAAGAGACAATATAGAATGCCTGAGCCCAGCAAGACCTTTTAGCTCTTTGAGTGAGAGCTCCAGAGTGAAGATAAAGGTCATCTTGGAAGTGAAGTATCAAGACTTTCATTAGTCCATGAATCAGAATTTTATCTCAGCCTCACTCTTCATGCTGACACCCTAGGGTGTAGTAAAACAGAGTTCTAATCAAAACAGCATAATGAAATATAATCTACAAAGGAAAAGGTTTATAGGTTAGCTTTCAAAACAGGTGTTTTGGCATTTTTAAGAATAAAACTCTCTGACAAGTTTCTTTTGTAGTTGAATATGATCTGTAAGATGTATTTTTTTCACAGAACTTCAGCAGTCCCACAGTAAGACACTTAAAGTTCTCATAAACAGAATGAAAATGGAGCTCAGAACATTTTCCATGTTAGAAGCCGTGTAGGGCAGAGGGGATAGTAACACTCTTTTCTGTGTGGTTGAACTAATTCTACTCAATCAATTGCTTTATTCAAATAGTCAGTATGAATAAACAAATATTTATTTAGCAGCTATTTAGTTGGCCCTCAGCAAATATTTATTGAGGGCCGACTCTATGCCAACATTATTAGATCTAATAATTAGATCTAATAACAACATTATTAGAAAACCCTACCTAGTCTTCCACTGGCACACACAGAAGAGAATAATTAGGAAGTGAAAGAGAAGTCGTAAACTGAAGAATGAAGCCATCTGATGATGACATCATGCTATTTGCACAGTGCCATGTTTTCCCAGGCTCATTGCCTTGAGAAAATGCTTCAGCTACCCTTTCCTTATGGAGATTTAAGTCCTAATTCAAGACATTAAGGAATTAGGAATTCAAATCCCATATTTCTCCATCCTTGTTCATGTTATCGTTAGCTTTTGAAAAGGAAGAATGATTGGCCATTTTAGTCATTGTGTCAGTGAAAACTCTATGGAATTGGTGTTTTTTTAAAAAATATATGACACCCTCATTTTTAAGATATACAGCTTTTATGCATTAAAAATGCATGAAATGTAGACAAATTTTAATGCTGACCATAGCATTTGTTTACTTATGCCAATTTATGCTATGTTCTGAAGTTTGAGTCTAAACCTTTGTCATGTCCTACGTCTAAGGTTTTTCCTGAATCATTTTCTAGTATCTGCCATGATGGCAATATTGCAATGACTTCTGCATCTTACAACCCATGTTCCTGCTCAGGCCTCCTCAGCACTAGGACAGTGACTGGCTTCTATGCTTTCCATGCACATCGAAAAAGCTGTGTCTGCACTTGTTGTTTCATGCCTTCCTTGTTTGACTCATGGATCTCTGAGAGGTCAACTGCTTGATGCTGTTGATAGATAGTATTTTTGAGCCTGTCTTATGGTTCTTCATGGGTTTACCTCCCCTTGCTCTAAAAATTTTGTCACCTATTCCAACATATTTAGCTATGCTCATACATGTACGGGCAATCATATTTCTTTGAACATAGATTTTAAAATTACTCTTTATTTCAGAAATGTTAAAATATGAAGACATAAAATCTCAGAATCAAGGAAAAGAGGGCAACTGAAACCCAAGTAGTCATGTTGCTTCCCAGGAAGATGATGGGCTGGACAAAGGAGCTGGGAGGTCAGGTTTGTACCTGCATGGCGTAGGGTCATCACTTAGCTCCATGTGCCTCTTCTGAGGGCACAGGTGTATGTGTTTGTGGTTGACTGCTTTGATATATTCCATTTCGGTTTTAAAACACCCTGAGGCAACAGGGACCAAACTACTTTTATCCATTCACAAACATCCGAAAACCAAATGTGGATCTAGGAAAAGAGATTGTTAAAGAAATTAATTTTTGCTATTACTACTAGTATTTTTTTAAAAAAAGCACTGAAACCAAACCAAAACGCAATTATTTTTCTTAGCATAAAAATTCTATACTCATACTCAGAAGTTTAAAAAAATACAATATTTATGAAGTAAACATATATTTGATTTTTTACAATTAAAAACATGCACCAAATATGCCAAGAGAAAAAGAAAGAAAATCAAAAGGTCTTATTGCTAATACTTAGTAAAAGTAGTTTACACAGAGAATCAGTATAGTTGGTTCTCCAGAAAAGACTAATTATCAGTTACTAGAAATAATTTATACATTAACACAATTTTTATAGTTTTTATTCTAAAAGTTATAAGCACAATGAAAATAATGATTTTTCGTCATCCTTTTGAGAACAAATTACTGATCTAATACGCCATCGTTCTATTCTGTGCTGTGTTTCCTATAAGCAAGAATATTCCTACATGTACTCAATATAATCATCAACATTAGATAATTAATATTGATATGTTTCTACTATTTAATTTGCAGAGTCAATTCAAATTTGCTAATTGTCCTAACAATATTATTCTTCATAGCAAACGTATCAAGTTCAGAATCCCCTGTTGCACTTAAATGTTGGTGTGGTCTGGCTCTGTGTCCCCACCCGAATCTCATCTCAAATTGTAATCCCCACATGTCAAGGGAGTACCGCAGCCTTCTCATTTCCTTCACTCTGGAAAAGTGCCTCATTTTCTCCTTGACCTTCATTATCTTGACAACTTTGAAAAGGACAGGCCAATGCCTGTGGAATGCCCATTAATTTGGATTTGTTTGATGTTTCCTCATGATTATATACAAGATACGCATCGCTGGTAGAAATGCCACTAAAAACATGGTGGAAACACCGTGAAAAAGAGACACTTTGCTTTCTTCTCTCACTGCATCATAAGAGGAGGTGCCCAACTTTGATATGTCCCATTACTGATAATGTGTAGTTGGATCACTTGATTAAAATAATATCTACCAGTGTACTCCACAGGCAGATGGAGTATTTAGTGCTGCCATAATAATAGTACTTTGTGTTCATAAACTATTGCACAAACATTGTCTAGTATGTAATATACTAAAGTTAAAGTTATTCATTAAAGTTATTTATTTTCCTTTGCAATTAGCACATACTTGGTGGGAAGTATGTTGAGACTATAAAAACATGAGGTTCCTCATCAAACTCCAATTGATTCATATATTTATTTACATCATGACGATTTGTGGTTTTCTATTTTATTCAATAAATTTTATCCTGTTACCATTACTTATTTAATGGTGATTTTGTTTTCTGGCTTTTGCTATGGGAGCCTCTTTCAGGTGGCTTGGTATCTTTTGACATAGTTCTGTGTGGGTGCCCTTCTTACCCTGCTTGGGCTCTGACACCGGCATCTTTCCTGCCTGGCCCCCTCTTGGTTGCCCTCCTTTCCCACCCAGGCTCTGCCACTGTGCTGGGGGTCACCTCATTCTGTCCCCATCTGCTCATAGGTGGCATAGTTGTCTTTCCTGCCCAAACCCACTCAATGGCCTTTGGAATGAATTGTTCAGGAAGGGAAGAGAAAGAAGAATTTTTGTTTCCATTGTTTTCTTTCAATGGCTTTTCCAGTCCTTCATTAATTTAGTCACAAATGTTGTTTTGAGCATGGATATTTTACTGAGGTCTATCTTGGTCTAGTAGATATAAAGGTAAGATACAGATGCCCATTTGGGAGCAGAAAACTTAGCAGGGAAGAGGAAACATGAGCACAGCCATCTAAAATTAGGTGTTGCTAATGTTCTACTGAAGGGATGAAGAAGGAATGTACCAGGGCTGTTCTCCACAGGCAGGAAGATGGCCTCAGAGGTCAGTTTCAAACAGGGCACCTTCTAGGACAAGGAAACAGTATTGGTCAAGCTGTTCTAGCCCGTAGCCCCCAGGCCACATGGGGCCTAGGATGGCTTTGAATGCAGTCCAATACAAATTGGTAAAGTTTCTTAAAACATTATGAGATTTCTTTGTGTGTGATTTCTTTTTCTTTTAGCTTATCTGCTATCACTAGTGTTGGTATATTTTATGTGTGGCCCAAGATAATTATTTTTCTTCCAATGTGGCCTAAGAAGGCTAAAAGGCTGGGCATCCCATGGATAGGTAAAGGCTGAGCATCCCATGGATAGGTAAAGACTGGGCATCCCATGGGTAGGTAAAGGCTGGGCATCCCATGGGTAGGTAAAGGCATGGAGGCCTGAAAGTGCAGGTAATCTTTGGGGAATAGCAAGTGATCACTGGGATCAAGAAGAGAATGTATAAATATGTGTTAAGATAAAAGCAGTAAAAAGAAAGGTTAGGGCCAGATTAGAAGGACTGTGAATATCATGTTAAAGTTTAAACTGTGCATATTAGAGTATGTGTTTTATAAAGAAAACTTTGGCAACAGTGTGGAGAAGAAATTGGAATTACATGGGAGACCATTTAAGGAGAATATTATCCACCTTTCTTTCCAACTAAGCAAAAGGCCCAGGATTCTGGTCTACACCAAGGGGTCCAGAGATAGTGAGGGTGGGGGAATTCTATGCCTCTAGGTCTGAGGCAGAGTGGTAGCTGGGTAAAAAAGTTCTAATGTACATCTGTTGCATTTCTGAGGTGTAAATACTCCCTCCATGGCCAGTTTTAAGCTATCAGCATCTCATTACTGAGCAGAGTTTAGAAGGCATTAGTATAGTCAACTTCCCTAGCCAGTGCAAGCCAGCTCTAGCTTACTCCTGACAGGTGAGGACGTGTCCTGTAACGGGAAGGGAAATGAGTGTAGGATCACAGAGAATGACTTTATGCAAAGCGGTGGACTTTATGGAACAGGTCAAAGACCTGCTCTGCACCAGAACTAGCTGAGGCTGTCTAAGGCTGAGTCAAGCACCTGGTGGCCTAGGGGGCCTGATCCAAGGGAGAGCAGGACAGGGCCCTGGTTCTGGTTGCCTGGGGAAGAGATAGCATGAATAACAAGCTGTGCTTTTGAGGGAAGACCCCTGAGAGCAGGCTGAGGAAACCCAGGGCCTATGAGGTATTTAGCAAGAGTTCCCTTCCTGGTCAAGGACAGGGCTGTGGCAGGAGGCGGCTTCTGGGAGGGTTCAGAGCCACTGGCAAGCTATGTTCTCAGAGCCTTCCACTGGTGTGCATGATCCCCTTACCTCAGAGTGACTTTCCTAAACACTTCCGCTTTCTCCTCTGTCATACACTTTCTCCAAGACAAGAAAGTGCTATCAGTTTGAATCAGGGCTAAGAAGAGAATAATAATAGCAAATCATAATGAGTCGCACTGAGGTCTGTGATGTCACTTTTCTAAATGCTTTCTATGTCTTAAGTCTTTAATGCTCACTGATATGATTTTCATTTTATAGATGAGGAAATTCAAGCAGGAAGAGATTAAGTAACATTCAGGTGAAATAGCTGGAGAGGGTATAGTGGTAGAACATGCCATAGCGGGCTGACTCCATAGCCCATGCCCCACTCTGCTACACTGGGGAGAAGAAAAAATCCAGGGAGGACAAAGTATTAGTATCTCAAGATACCATGCACTGCATAAATGAGGTAGGTGAGTCCATGACCTGGCATCTAACAGATGTGCAAGTAATCTGTTTTGAATAGATAAATGGAAAGCCTCTATTACATCAGTTAATCTTTATACGGTGAGAGTTTTATAGCCTTCACTATCTTGCGTTTTGATTTTGGGTATTTCAGAATTAAGATGATCTTTGAGCAGCGCGTTATAGTTTCCCAAACAAGAATGTGAGAAACACCGGAAGAATACGCCCAGCCTCAGCCCGAAACACCGCGGGAATACGCCCGGCCTCAGCCTGGGACACCGGAAGAATAAGCCCGGCCTCAGCCTGGAACACCGGAAGAACACGCCCGGCCTCAGCCCGGAACACCGGAAGAACACGCCCGGCCTCAGCCCGGGACACCGCGGGAACACGCCCGGCCTCAGCCCGGGACACCGCGGGAACACGCCCGGCCTCAGCCCGGAACACCGGAAGAACACGCCCGGCCTCAGCCCGGGACACCGCGGGAACACGCCCGGCCTCAGCCCGGGACACCGCGGGAACACGCCCGGCCTCAGCCCGGAACACCTGAAGAACACGCCCGGCCTCAGCCCGGGACACCGCGGGAACACGCCCGGCCTCAGCCCGGGACACCGCGGGAACACGCCCGGCCTCAGCCCGGGACACCGCGGGAACACGCCCGGCCTCAGCTCGGAACACCGGAAGAACACCGGAAGAACACGCCCGGCCTCAGCCCGGGACACCGCGGGAACACGCCCAGCCTCAGCCTGGAACACTGCGGGAATACGCCCAGCCTCAGTTTTGAAATATTGCATCAGTTCTTCTGCTCCTACATCATGGAGCTCTTCCTCATCAATAGATTTAATTAATTTAAATATTTATTTACAATAGCCTCTTTTATCTTGACCTGTTCTGCACAAGGCAGTCCTGGATACTGTGCTGAGGGTTTCACTCCGCGATAGCCGGTGCCCTACCCGAGTCTCTGCACAGCGGCTACATCCCCGTCTCAAACCAGTGCTCTGGCGTCTGTGTTTACCCTCCCTGAGCTTACTGTATAAAAAAGACTGCTTTTGAGAGACATCAAGAATGCACGGTTCCACCTTTATGATGAGAGACAGATCCCATTAAAAGAAAAGTTCTGCATTCTGAAAAACTGAGTAGGTTGGCACTTAAAAGGGAATTCCAGCTGGTTAATTTAGGGTGCTGAAAAAAAGATCCGGCACAGGAATGCTTTCTGGCTGTGGGCCCACTGCATTTTCAACTGATTGCGAACTGGAGACGTTTTCATCACACGAGGGACTCCGCTTTTCAGTATCATGTTGTTCTGAGACAGGAAAACAAGTGAGCACACACGGTTTGGCCCTGGTATCCTAGCTATATTCACGAACATGATCAATGCCAGTTGCATGGAAACCAAAGATAGCCTTATGCTTGCCGATATATTAAAAGTAAAAAAAAAATCTGAATGAAAATTTTAAAAATATTTTCCGTCTTGAAGTTTTTTTTTATTCTTGCCTCCTAATTTTCTTTTCTGTTGTGTCTAAGAAAATATTCTGAAGATATGAAAAGAGCTTTAGGTAAAAGAACAGTTTTGAAAATTGTTAATTTCCTGTGGTATTTTTTTTCTTCAGTGGCTTAATGTGAAAAAAATGTATAGGAATCCTCTGTGGGTCCAGGCAGCTCTCCAGGGCAGCTGTCCTCCATGCAATGATCCAGCAATTCATACAGCTTTAGCCTGTTGCTCTACCAACTCCACACCAGACCTGGTTCTTTGACAAAGAGAATGAGAAGCTCAGATGCTGTGGAGAGACTTTTCGCGGCTTTGGCCTGAAAGTGACACATATTGCTTCTGCTCCCGTTTCCTGGGCCAGAAGTTGTTATATGGCTCTGCCTAACTGCAAGCGTCTGGGAAGCATAGTCTCCCATCTGCCCAGAAAGAAGAAGAGAGCTGGATATTGCTGAACACTGGTAATGGCATGTTGTCCAATCATGCTTCCCAGAAACCGGCATAGTCCAAATGGTCTGTGCTCCAAGTGAACAGAAAAAAACCCTAAGTCTGCTGCCACCTATACAAACTAACAAAGCAAAACACCTCCCATTGTGATTTCTCATTTCTATAGAGTGTTGAAGTTTCCCTAAATAAATTGTCCCTTTCATAGAATTTTCTTTTCCATTTTTCCAATTTTCTCTTATTCCATTCATTTCAGCCAAAGGAATGTTGCTCACCTCTCTAGGTAGAGTCTGGATAACTTTTGCAGTAGCAGTAGCCCCAAGAATTGATGCCCTCAGAAACATGTCTGCATTTGAATTACTTCAACTCTGAATATTCTTTGTGCTATTTATTGTCAAGGCATTTAAAACTGTATGATGCAGTTGGCCTCAATACTATTAATGCACTGTCTTGGTTCCTCATCCTGGTGGTAGGACTGTTCCTCTCTTCTCAATACCACTTGGGGGGCTGGCTATCAAGTGACCAAATTTAGGGATGGTTGGGACAGGTATTGATGACCTAGAGATCCAATATTCATTTATTCTGTTTCTAACACTGTTCATTGCTTTGTATAAATCCAAGTTGCTGTCTGGTGTCATATGTCTTCCTCCCAGAGAACTCCCTTTAACATTTCTTACATGTAGGTCTGTTGGCAATGATTTCTCTCCGTTTTTATTTGTCTGAGAAAGTCTTTATTTCTCCTTCATTTTCTCACAGGGAATAAAACACTGAGTTGATATTTTTTTTTCTTTCAGCGCTTTCAAGATGTCACCCCATTGCATTCTGTATTGCGTGATTTCTGATGTGAGATCTACTGTAATTTTTCTGTGCTCCTTGTTATACAATTTGTAAGAGCTATAAAGCGTCTGAACTTTTATTCTACTTTTAAGCTAAAAATTTAGCCTGCTGTAGTTTCATAGAAGCTGGTAGAAGACAGGAGACAACAAACAAATGACAACGAGCAATCAGTGACACACTTTGTAAGATGTTCGGGAACAGGAGAGAGCTGTGGAAAGCTGGCTCCCAACAGAAATGTGTGTTTCATTGGCTGACTTCAGGATTACCTGTTTGTGTTTTGTTTTCAGTTTGAATACAAAATATATAGGCGTTCATGCATGCGCATGCGCTTGTGTGTGTGTGTGTATGTATGTGTGTATGTGTGTTTGTCTCTGTGTGTCTTGTGAGTATGCATGTGTCTCTGTGTGTGTCTGTGTGTGTGTGTATGTATGTGTGTGTGTGTGTGTGTGTGTGTGTGTGTGTGTGTTGGTACTTACTCCTGTATGGTATTGTGAGCTATTTGGCTCAGAGATTTGTTGTCTGTCATTGTTGTCTGTTTGTGACACTCTTGGCTATTATTTCTTTTGTCCTATTCTCCTCCTCTCTCTCTTTAGAGATTCCACGTATACGTGTGTTAGATCATTTGATAGTCTCTCACGGTGCTTGGGTGCATTATTCCGTGTCTGCTGCTGTACAGTCTTTTTTATTTGTGTCTTAGCCTAGGTACTTTCTATGGACCTGTCTTTAAGTTTACTGATTATTTTCTCGGTTAAGTCTTCCAATGGGGCTGTAGAAGATGCTTTCATCTCTATTACTGTCTGTTATTTCTGGGATTTGAACTACATTATTTGTTACAGTTTCCATCTCTATGCTGAAATAATCTGTCTGATCTTAAACATCATCCACCTCTTTATTGAAGGCTTTAACTTATTAATCATAATTATTTTAAGCTCTTTATCAGATAGCTCCAACATCTGTGTCGCACCTGAGTCTAGTTATGCAGATTCCCTTTTATTTTTTTTTTCGAGATGGAGTTTCGCCCTGTCTCCCAGGCTGGAGTGCAATGGTGCTGAGAGGTGACAACGTGCTAGCAGCCCTTGCTCGCTCTGGGCGCCTCCTCGGCCTCAGTGTCCTCTCTGGCCGCGCTCCAGGAGCCCTTCAGCCGGCCGCTGCGCTGTGGGGACCCCTCTCTGGGGCTGGCTGAGGCTGGAGCCGGCTCCCTCTGTTCGCGGGGAGGTGTGGAGGGAGAGGCGCAGGCCGAGCCCGGGCTGCACGCATTGCTGGCGGGCCGGCGCGGGGCGCGGGTTCCAGGTGGGCGCGGCTCTGCAGGCCCCGCACTCCGCGAGGCCGGCCGGCACCTGCTGGGCTTGACCGGGCTTGATACGGGGACGAGCTCCCTCTGGGCTGCCAGAGTGCCCGGGCTGGGTGCCGAAAAGTCCCATGGCCAGTGCCATTGAGAGGTGAAGCCAGCTGGGCTTCCGGGTAGGGTGGGAACTCGGAGAAATTTTCTGTTTAGCTAAAGGATTGTAAACACACCAATCAGCACTCTGTGTCCAGCTAGAGCTTTGTAAATGCACCAATCAACACTCTGTGTCTAGCTAGAGGTTTATAAACACACCAGTCAGCACTCTGTCTAGCTAGAGGTTTGTAAACACACTGATCAGCACTCTGTGTCTAGCTCATCTGGTGGGGACTTGGAGAACTTTTACGTCTAGCTAAAGTTTTGTAAAAGCACCAATCAGCGCTTTGTCAAAATGGGCCAATCAGCTCTCTGTAAAATGGACCAATCAGCTCTCTATAAAATGGACCAATCAGCTCTCTGTAAAATGGACCAATCAGTAGGATGTGGGTGGGGCCACCAGTGGCAACCCGCTCTGGTCCCTTTCCAGGCTGTGGAAGTTTTGTTCTTCCGCTGTTCGCAGTAAATCTTGGTGCTGCTCACTCTTTGGGTCCATGCTGCCTTTTTGAGCTGTAACAGTCACCGCAAAGGTCTGCAGCTTCACTCCTGAAGTCAGCCAGACCATGAACCCACCAGCAGGAAGAAACTCTGGACCCATCTGAACATCTGAAGGAACAAACTCCGGACACACCATCTTCAGGAACTGTAACACTCACCGCGAGGGTCCACCGCCAGGGTCCACGGGTCCGCAGCTTCATTCTTGAAGTCAGCGAGACCAAGAACCCACCAATTCCGGGCACAGTGCAACTTCCGCCTCCTGGGTTCAAGCGATTCTCCTGCCTCAGCCTCCCAAGTTGCTGGGATTACAGGCATGCACCACCACGCCTAGCTAATTTTGTTGTATTTTTAGTAGAGACGGGGTTTCACCATGTTGGCCAGGGTGTTCCCAAACTCCTGACCTCAGGTGATCCACCCGCCTCAGCCTCCCAAAGTGCTGGGATTACAGGCATGAGCCATGGCACCTGGCTGCAGATTTCTTTGTCTCTTGGCAGCGCATTGTTTTTTTTCTGTCTTTTCACATGCCTTGTAATTTTTTGTTGGAAAGTCAGACATCTTGTTCAGGACAGTAGAGACAAAGCTAGATAGTTTTTGTGTGTGGAAGTGGGTGATCTGCGAGGCCTTTAGTGTGGGCATTTGTGTTCATCTAGTGAGGAGTTGGGAAGGGTTTGAGATTTGTAGTTCCTATAATTATCCTCCATGATCCACAGTCTTCAGATTCCTCTAGCAATCCTGTGTATTTGATGTGGGGACAGTTCCCCAAAGTGTTTCTCAAAGTCTGCTCCACTCTCAGCTTTGGGCCTTCCCTCTGTGCTGTGCGGTGGAGAGCGCCGGTCTCTTATAGCTCGCTCCTCAGTGCCCGCGGCACCTTGCTCCCAGCAGTGTTGCACCTTGCTCCCCGCAGTGCTCCGTGGCACCTTGCTGCTCACGCTGGAAGCTTGTTAGTGCAGGGAACCGTGCTGGACACATCCTCTGCTGTTCTGACCCAGCCTCGGTCTCCACCTCCGTCCTTGGTTCACAGAGGCGTGACCTTCATGAGTGTTTCTCCTCCTCAGCTCTAGTTGATCCCGGAGCAATGCATTTTCTAGATCTCAACATCACAGATCGGAAGTCGGAACGGTTAGTTTGTTTTTATCTCTTAATTTATGGTCTTCAATTTGCCCATTTAATGGAAGGAAAATAGTGCGACTATTGTAACTGAACTGTCCCAGATGTAAAAGTCAATCATTTAGGCATCTAGGAAGAACCGCTAAGATACTTTGTGGGAAACAGAAGTCATGTTGGACATTATGCCTACTTCCCAAGAGCTTGTGGTCTAAATGGCAAATAGTTTCTAGTAAACCCATAGTTAAAATCTAAAATGTGTGACCTGCCAAGAACAGTTGAATGATTTCCAGGAAGGGAGTGACGACTGAGGTCAACTGCCAGGAGGAGGTGAGGCTTGGAGTCTGCATTGCTGAATGCAAAGGGCGGGGGCTTTGCTGTCAGACTGGGCAGATGCCAGCTCCCAGCTTTGCCTCTTGCCTGGTGTAGCATGTCAGTTAAATGGCTTCACACCTCTGTGTCCTAGTGGATAAAGTGCCGATGATGTTCGACCTTCAGGCTTGCCAACGGAACTAAAGGAAATAATATATGAAGACCTTCATATAGTTCTCAGCTTATAGAAGGGATATGAGCCATTAGAATTTAATTTTTGTTTTTTCTTCTGAAACCCCAATTATAAAAAATGGTAGCTTTTGCATAGGCAGAGAGAAGACAGGAAAGAACTCTAGAAGAGGAAAAAGTAGAAGTGAAGTGCCTGGATTTAGCAGTGATTATGATAGTTTTGTGGCACATGGAGACCAGCCTAGCTAGAGCAGCGACTGAAAGCGACAGGAATTAGTATAACTCCAGCGGCAAAACACAGGCAACAAATGCACACTTTTGATGGTTTGGTGCCTAAACCCTCACCTGGGCTTTTAGGCCAATATCAGACCTGCCTCATCAGGGCCATACATAGACTTGCTGGTGCCCTTCCTTGCAGAGGTGCACTAGTGCCTTTATTCCAGATAAGACAGAAGGAACAATTTCTTGGGATGGGTCAGGGTATACCTAGTTCACCATGGCAGGATGTGGCTCAGACTTTTGGAGGCTTTATTAACCAGGTCTTTCTTTCCGATGCTTTGATATCTGCGATCTTGCCTGCCGCTCCCAGAGTTAGCCAATTCCTAGAGATAGTAAAGGGTTCACCTTCAAGTGTGTCTTTCAAATGCAAACCAACCAACCCAGAGCCATACCCCCAACCCACTTCTTTAGGAGCTCTCAGACTCAGGGCCACTGTTCTGCTGCCCTGATTGCTCAAGGCCAGGTCCTGGACAACTAGGAACAGCCCCAGGGGCCATCAAGGTTATTCAAACTAGCCAATCCTAAACCTGCTTATCCTGCCTCATGTACCTTCCTGTGGGAACTGTAATGAAGACTCTTGCCTGTGTCTTTCTCTCACTCCCTCTGCCTCCTGAGTGACCCCAGTGCTTTTCCATGTGGGCCTCTGGTGTGCAGAGCCCACTTGTCCTGCGACCTGTGAGTAACAAACCATCTTTTCAGTCGTATTGTCTTCTGACCTGCTGGCCTCACCACATCTGAATAATCATAAAGCCTACATTTTAAAACAGACAAATCCCCTTACAAGAACAGGGCAGATACTCGTTATATGTTCACATCCAGAGTCTGTTAAAACAGAGACAAATCCGGTTACAAGGACGGGGCAGATACTGGTTCTATGTTCACATCCAGAGTCTGTTAAAACAGAGACAAATCCCCTTACAAGGACGGGGCAGATACTGGTTCTATGTTCACATCCAGAGTCTGTTAAAACAGAGACAAATCCCCTTACAAGGACGGGGCAGATACTGGTTACATGTTCATATCGAGAGTCTGGGCTGACAGGAGGAACTCAGTGTCTGGAAGACAAGGAGCAAGAACAGTGAGTTAGGTGGGAGGTGGCTGAGGGGAAGGTGTTTTGCCAGAGTAATGGAGGTGACGTGGAGGAGGATTGAAGCCCAGCAAGGGCTCTGTTGAGAAATACGTCCAGGCCGGGGGCTTGCAGCGCTTCTCAGGGTTTTGGCACCCAGGGTGGTCAGGGGTTGGTACCCAAGCTCTGAGAGACAGGACCTCAGGCTAAAGGAGAGAGACATGTTTCCGAATGAGAGACTCAAGGTTTTGGCACCCAGGGAAGTCAGGGGCTGGTACCCAAGTTCTGAGAGACAGGACCTCAGCCTAGAGGAGAGAGACATGTTTCCAAATGAGAGACTTGGATTCTGGGTAACACAAGTGATGTGAAAGCTTAATAATAAATCTTGGGAATGAAGCATAAGCCCAGATGTGAAACCTACGGTGCCATATCTGTGCTGGACAATAGGAGGCAGTGCTGCCCAACCCAAGGATATTGGCCAAAGCCGCCTTCAGTACTTTCTATCTAAGGTCAGCATTAAGTCTAGGAAAGACCAGACTGGGGATGAGCCTGTGGGGAGGTCAGGTTGCCACAACTGTGCGGGGAAACCAGACCAGCTCTGGCAGAAGGTGTGGTCAGGAGTCTCGTTCTTGCGTCATCCACTCAGGGTTCTAGTACAAGTTCCTTTCTCACAAGTCTTGCTGTTCCTGTTACAGTCAGCCCACTCCCCAGTCCACACAGTTTCTTGGCCCCAGGGGCCCATTTTGCTCTCATCATCCTATGGAAGGTGCCTCTTGAAATTTATAGCCCCTAAAATCCTGCAAATGCGTTGATAACAGATGTCTACTTGGCTACATCTGAGAGGGCTTCTCTGTCATGACCACCAGCCTGCAGAGTGCTGTTCCCAGCTGCTGCTTCAAGGGGGGGTGCTGACTGATGGAATTTCTGCAGGGATCTCTTCATTCTTCCTCGTTTTTCTTCCTGAGGAGAAAATTTTGCTTTATCATTAAGTCTTCTGGGTCTGATTCTGCTCAGCTGAGTCTGACACTTTCCTAAATCTTACTTTCACAGCCTCTCATGAGGTGGTCTGAGTATTACAGAATTTGACTCTCCATTGCAAGGGAACAGGGGCCAAACCCCCTCCAAAATGGCTGCAGAATAGGGGCTAGCTCGGTGTTAGGCACCCTTGAATCTAGGTTCCTTAGCTCTGACTGTCCCTGTTCCCAAATCTGTGGAGAGTAGCCCACAGTGAACTCATCCGCCCTAGATCCAGGGTGATTCTTTTGCATCACTGCTCCTAGGAGAAGAATAGTCACAAAATCTTCAAGGTATACACACACACGTACATGTATATAGACATATGTCGGAAATACATATACGTATCTGTGTACACTCGAAAGATAGAACTTGGCCCCAAAATCATGCAATCATTTTAAACAATTTCTTTCATGGTACCAGAGACACCACACCATATGAAAGTTGCTTTGGGACCTGTTCAAGTTGAATTGTGCTCTCCAATAATTCACATCTTGAAATCTTAACCTCCAGTAGCTCAGAATGTGACTGCATTTGGAGACAGAGAAATAAGGAAAAAATGTAGATGCAGGCGGATACAGAGCAAGGGTGATGTAAACACACAGGGAGAAGACAGACACCAGTGAGCTGAGGAGAGAGGCCTGAAACAGGTCTTTTCTTTACAGCACTTGGAAGGCACCAACCCTGTCGACACCTCGATTTTGGACTTCTGGCCTCAGACCTGTGAGACAGTATATTCGTGTTGTGTAAGCTGCCCAGTTGTAGTACTTTTCCACAGTAGCCCCAGCAAATCAATACAGGGCCTACAGGCATGGATTTCTGTTCCAGTTACTTTGCTTTGCAATAAATGTCCCTAAAACTTCAAGGTGTAGAACAATCATTTTGTTATCTTCATTGATTCCGTAAGTGTAGCATTCAGAAGGGACACAGGGATGATGGCTTATCTCTAATCCATGATATCTGGGTCATTAGCTGGAAAGACCTGATAGTTGGATAGAATGGTCTCACTTACTCCCAGGTCTGGGCTGGAATGATGCAAAGACTAGGTCTGCTGCCAGGAGGGCCTACATGTGGCCTTTCCATGTGGCTTGGTTTCCTCACAGCTTGGTGTCTTTGGAGCAATTGTCTTTCCTGTATGGCGGCTTATGACACCAAGCATGAATGTTCCAGGGTACAAGCAAAAGTCAGATCCTCTTTTATGACCCAGCTTGGGAGTCACCCAGGCCACATCTGCCACATGCATGGGTCTAAGCAGTCACAATCCTTTCCAGAGTCAAGTTTCGCAGGATGGTCGTGGTGGCGGAACAGACCCCACCTCCCGATGGAAAAAATGACAATACATGTTAGGGCAATGTGGGCAGTGTTGCAAAAACTTCTAAAAGTTATTATTTCCTTGAGAGGACAAGCATGTTTAATCCAAACCATGTTACCCCTTCATACAGGTCTTTGCAAGCTTTGGACCACATGGAGATAGAGAAATAAGGAAAGGACAGATTAAATAATGTCTCAAAGCCAAGTGAAGAAAGTTGGGTGTGATTGGATAAGAAAATAAGACTTGGTTTACATTTTCAGAGATAATGTGTGAAGTACAATGAACGGAACATTTTATCTCCTTTTTAAGAAGCCGAAGATCAAATACACCAGTCAAAGTGATCCTCTGAGAGTGTTAATGTGGGAGAGCTTTCAGACCAACATGCTAATAATGAAAGCCTCATGCCCTAATCTAGGTAAGAGTTTGTTTGATCCAGAAGCCACTTGACAGAATCAGAAATACTAAAGCTCAAATGTCGAAAACTATGATTACAACCTGCAGTTTGATATGAATCAGCACCAGACAGATGCTGTCTCTTTTCCCTGATGAGAACAAATACATGCTACACCCAGCAGGAGAAAGGACTCCTGACGCAGCTGTAACTCAGCTCGGCTCATGAAGGAGGCCATGCTAGGTGTTTCAGGAGGTCTTGAGATGCATTAGGCTGAGGATTCTGCTTTCAAGGAGATTATAATTTAGTTAGGAAAATTTTCCTAACAAGCTGATTTTTCATTAATATGTAAAAAAAATCCCAAAATACAGAAATGTTCAGTATCATGGGCAATAAAGGTTAGAGCTAGAGTCAGATCGTTCTGTTTATTCTAAAGCAAGAGCTCTTTCTATTCTCATCAATGTCTCTTTAATGAGAAATCAAATATTACCTTCTATTTTTCTTTAAAAACAAGAACATTTGATGAATGGCTTTCAATTCTAAAGCCAGGAAGTAGGTAGGAGGAGCAAGGTTCTTAGGGTACGTCTTCTCTCTAAAACTGGAGCCGGACTTTGAGTGAGTGCAGTGTGAGCATTTCTGACCTTCCGAAAAAGGATTCCAGATGTTTCAGAGACATTTAATGCTCTCTGAATACCCGTGTGCTCACCCACATGCCACAGCTTGTGTCTAGTCAGACAGGAGCCATTTGTAGGGGCTGAGGGGGAATGTGTGATTTGTGGGAGCTCTGGGGTAAAGCATAGAACAGTGGCTGGAAGTTCTGCACTGTTTTTTTTTTTTTTTTTTTTTGACGGAGTCTCACTGTCGCCCAGGCTGGAGTTCAGCCGCGCGATCTCGGCTCACTGCAAGCTCCGCCTCCCGGGTTCACGGCATTCTCCCGCCTCAGCCTCCCCAGTAGCTGGAAGTACAGGCTTCGCCACCAAGCACAGCTAATTTTTTTGTATTTTCAGTAGAGACGGGGTTTCACCGTGTTAGCCAGGATGGTCTCGATCTCCTGACCTCGTGATCCGCCCGCCTCGGCCTCCCAAAGTGCTGCGATTCCAGGCGTGAGCCCCCGCGCCCGGCGAAGTTCTGCACTTCTGCTGTTCCCCCGCCTTGGCAATGGGGCCGCTTGCTGAGAGGTCAGTGTCCATCACTTGGGATCCTGAATAACCAGGTGGAGCCGAACCCCTACTGACCCGACCGATTGAGGGAGAAATCCATCTTTATTGTCTTAAGCCATGAAAAGCCATGTTTTCTTGTGAGAGCAAATTAACTCCCCATGATATTTGGGGATGTGAGCCACTGTGCCTGGCCCATCCAATCTATTTTTAAATGTGACAAAATTCATACTCTTCAGGTAAGTATGTTGAAATGATTCATCAGTTCTGCTTCTTATAATTTATTTTCCAGACTGTTATCATATTTCTTTTTTTTCTCTGACACCTTTTATTTCTTTAAGTAAAAGAAGACAAATATACTAAAAGTTTAGTATTAATAGTTTTGAATTATAGATGGCGGAAACCTTTGATAACATTAATATTTGAATTTTGAATTTTATTTATTTATTTTTTTTAATTTTATTATTATTATACTTTAAGTTTTAGGGTACATGTGCACAACGTGCAGGTTTGTTACATATGTATACATGTGCCATGTTGGTGTGCTGCACTCACTAACTCGTCGTTTAGCATTAGGTGTATCTCCTAATGCTATCCCTCTCCCCTCCCCCCCACCCCACAACAGTCCCCAGTGTGTGATGTTCCCCTTCCTGTGTCCATGTGTTCTCATTGTTCAATTCCCACCTATGAGTGAGAACATGCAGTGTTTGGTTTTTTGTCCTTGTGATAGTTTGCTGAGAATTATGGTTTCCAGCTTCATCCATGTCCCTACAAAGGACATGAACTCATCATTTTTATGGCTGCATAGTATTCCATGGTGTATATGTGCCACATTTTCTTAATCCAGTCTATCATTGTTGGACATTTGGGTTGGTTCCAAGTCTTTGCTATTGTGAATAGTACCGCAATAAACATACGTGTGCATGTGTCTTTATAGCAGCATGATTTATAATCCTTTGGGTATATACCCAGTAATGGGATGGCTGGGTCAAATGGTATTTCTAGTTCTAGATCCCTGAGGAATCACCACACTGACTTCCACAATGGTTGAACTAGTTTACAGTCCCACCAACAGTGTAAAAGTGTTCCTCTTTCTCCACATCCTCTCCAGCACCTGTTGTTTCCTGACTTTTTAATGATCACCATTCTAACTGGTGTGAGATGGTATCTCATTGTGGTTTTGATTTGCATTTCTCTGATGGCCAGTGATGATGAGCATTTTTTCATGTGTTTTTTGGCTGCATAAATGTCTTCTTTTGAGAAGTGTCTGTTCATATCCTTTGCCCACTTTTTGATGGGGTTGTTTGTTTTTTTCTTGTAAATTTGTTTGAGTTCATTGTAGATTCTGGATATTAGCCCTTTGTCAGATGAGTAGGTTGCAAAAATTTTCTCCCATTCTGTAGGTTGCCTGTTCACTCTGATGGTGGTTTCTTTTGCTGTGCGGAAGCTCTTTAGTTTAATTAGATCCCATTTGTCAATTTTGGCTTTTGTTGCCATTGCTTTTGGTGTTTTAGACATGAAGTCCTTACCCATGCCTATGTCCTGAATGGTATTGCCTAGGTTTTCTTCTAGGGTTTTTATGGTTTTAGGTCTAACATGTAACGCAATCCAACATATAAACAGAACCAAAGACAAAAACCACATGATTATCTCAATAGATGCAGAAAAGGCCTTTGACAAAATTCAACAACCCTTCATGCTAAAAACTCTCAATAAATTAGGTATTGATGGGATGTATCTCAAAATAATAAGAGCTATCTATGACAAACCCACAGCCAATATCATACTGAATGGACAAAAACTGGAAGCATTCCCTTTGAAAACTGGCACAAGACAGGGATGCCCTCTCTCACCACTCCTATTCAACATAGTGTTGGAAGTTCTGGCCAGGGCAATCAGGCAGGAGAAGGAAATAAAGAGCATTCAATTAGGAAAAGAGGAAGCCAAATTGTCCCTGTTTGCAGATGACATGATTGTATATCTAGAAAACCCCATCATCTCAGCCCAAAATCTCCTTAAGCTGATAAGCAACTTCAGCAAAGTCTCAGGATACAAAATCAATGTGCAAAAATCACAAGCATTCTTATACACCGTAACAAACAGAGAGCCAAATCATGCATGAACTCCCATTCACAATTGCTTCAAAGAGAATAAAATACCTAGGAATCCAACTTACAAGGGATGTGAAGGACCTCTTCAAGGAGAACTACAAACCACTGCTCAATGAAATAAAAGAGGATACAAAGAAATGGAAGAACATTCCATGCTCATGGGTAGGAAGAATCAATATCGTGAAAATGGCCATACTGCCCAAGGTAATTTATAGATTCAATGCCATCCCCATCAAGCTACCAACGAGTTTCTTCACAGAATTGGAAAAAAATACTTTAAAGTTCATATGGAACCAAAAAAGAACCCGCATCACCAAGTCAATCCTAAGCCAAAAGAACAAAGCTGGAGGCATCATGCTACCTGACTTCAAACTATACTACAAGGCTACAGTAACCAAAACAGCATGGTACTGGTACCAAAACAGAGATATAGACCAATTGAACAGAACAGAGAACTCAGGAATAATGCCGCATATCTACAACCATCTGATCTTTGATAAACCTGACAAAAACAAGCAATGGGTAAAGGATTCCCTATTTAATAAATGGTGCTGGGAAAACTGGCTAGCCATATGTAGAAAGCTGAAACTGGATCCCTTCCTTACACCTTATACAAAAATTAATTCAAGATGGACTATTTCCATATTTCTACAACACATTGAGGTTTAATAGGCTTAAAAATAAGTGAAGGAGAAAAGCTAGCTTTCTTCCTACTGGAGGCTAGTCCAAAGACCATTTCCCAGGCTTTCCATCTTACCAAGAGAAGATACAGATGTAAATGTATTCCAATTTAGCAAGTTTGCTATGCTGTGAAATGTGAGGCTTGAGAGACCTTCCCTGGGAGCCCATCCAAAGGGCTGAGTGACTGTTTTATTAAAGGGGCCTCCTCTCTAAGGTGGTCTTTCGAATAGATTTTGAGACTAGCAAGGCACTATGAGCCTCTTTGTATAAAAGTCTTGGGTTGACACATCTATATTTTTCTGCTTCTAGGCATTAATGGAGACTTGAAAGTTAATCTTTGTCTAATGCAGATAAATACGCAAATGCATATGCCATTAAGCTATATGTCATGCAGGAAGGTTGCCTGTGTGTTTATGAACTTCTCCAGTAGAATTGACTTCTGGTTTTACAAATTAAGAGACGATATGCCTAGTATATATATGTTAAGTCAGGTAGATAAAAGGAAAGCTGAGATTTGTATTTATATATGATTCTCTGTGGTAGAATATTTCTTCTTAACATTTGTTTGGTTAGTATTTAAAATTCTGGATTTGTGCAGTGCTATATTGACAAGTCAATACTCCAAAAAGAGTCATGCGTTATATTAATATTTGTTCAGACAGCACATGAACGCAAGTGCTACAAAAATATTGTCAGAGATTTTTTAAAAGGCTATTTATCTTCATTCATAATTATATGTATGTGCATGCATGACACCAAAGACAAAATTGTAATAACTTCTGCTTGTGAATGCAAATGCCTGGTACTGCTGTGGGAGCATTGGCAAGTGAATACATCAGTGCTAGCACATCCACAATCATTCTTCAGGCAGGGATTCTGCAAAACTAATCACCCAAGGAAACAAACACACCACAAAGAAGTAATTAGGAAGCCTGTGAAATTAGACCTGGTGGGTGGGGGTCCCTGCTGGGAAGGGCCACAGAAGTGACACATAACAGGTCATCTGTTGTTAAACCTGGGAGACAGACCCAAGCTCCGGCCCAGTCTAATTACATCAAACAAGGTGCTATTTGTATTCATTTCTGAAAGACAAACTAAGTTGAGAGTGAAGTATCTTTGTGATATATTCCAGGAGACGGGATGCTGAGGATGCTGGATGTGGGCAAGGACCAAGCTGTGGTCACACCGCTTTCGAGGTCACAGGCAGGCCTGTTTAACACCATAATGAATTCAGGAAGGAATGAAATGAGGCAAAAGGCCTACGCTATGACTGGATGAGCACTGCCTCAAATGTCCCCCAAAGGTGGGGGTTGCAGAGCACAGGAAGCCAAGGGGTGGGGCATGTCTGTGGTTAAACATCTTCCAATTCCCAGCTCTGCCCAGGTAATTCCCTTTCCTTCAGACCTTCTGGTTTTATTTAGTTGGCTGGTTTTACATTACTGTGCTCAGCTGAAGCTTTTGCTAATCTATTCACATTCCCAACACAAGATAAATCCTGCATATTTTTAAAAATGTGTTTAAGACTATAGGCTTATTTCTACCCAGATTATTAAAAAGTCCCTCTCATGATGCTGGTTTGCAGGAGCTCTCTAATCAGGCGCGCTACCTGCTTTCCATCCTGCCTTTTGGGATTTGAGGTGAGGCTCACCCTACCAACCCCACATAGCTCAGAGGGTGCAGCCGTGTGTGCTCTAGAACATTCTGGTTAGGGGTAGGTTAAAGCAGCATTATCATGTCTTTTGGAGCCCACTGGGCTACATTCTAGTCTTGGTTTCTTCTTGGGTGAGCCCATTAGGTCAAAATTTATTTCTAAAGTAAGAGAACAGAACTGGGTACCTTTTAAGCTGCTTCTGGCTTCTGTAATCATGCGAGGATTACAGAAGTACTTAGAAAAACTTTGCATAGTAATACTTTAAGAAGTACAGGACTGGAAGGGCCCTGAGAATCATCTAGTTTCTTTCCCCAGATGGATTTAAATTCTCAAGTTACATAAAGAACTCATCACATTTGAAGGTAACTGGGGAGAGAAATGAATGAGCATTTGTTGAGCATTGGCCATGGGGCAGGCTACTGGGATTCGTAGAACAACACTGCAGGAGGCCGGTTACTCTTGTGGGTGATGGCAGGGAACTTGGGCTTGGAGTTTCACAGGTTGTGGAGCTGGTGAGTGGCAGTGCCTGGATTTGCACCCAGCCTTGTGGACTTCTAGAGTCAGAGCTCTTCACTCTGGTCTACACAACTGCTTTATTATAATTATTTTTGGAGACGGAGTCTCTCTCAGTCACCCAGGCTGGAGTGCAGTGACTCAATCTCAGCTCACTGCAGCCTCCGCCTCCCGGGTTTTAGTGATTCTCCTGCCTCAGCCTCCCAAGTAGCTGGGATTAGAGGGGCCTGCCACCACACCTGGCTAACTTGTATTTTTAGTAGAGATGGGGTTTCACCATGTTGGCCAGCCTGGTCTTGAACTCCTGACGTCAGGTGATTCACCTGCCTCAGCCTCCCAAAGTGCTGGGATTACAGGTGTGAGCCACTGCACCTGGCTCACGCAACCACTTTAAAAAAAGACTAATTTAAATACTTCTCAGTACCAAGAACCCAAGGGTAAAAAAGAGTCATTTGACTGACGATGAAGTGAGGCAAGTTTGAGACTGAGTGTCCCCTTGTACAGATGTAGCTGCTGAGGCATGGAAGCATTAGGATGTGTCCCCGACCGTGGATATGTCAGTGCAGCATCAGGGCTAAGACTCTGGGTGTTCTCTCCTTGACTTACCTCTTTCCACCTAGCTTAGAAGGGTCTTGTCGAGAGAGTCTGATGTGCAGGTGAGATTATGTCTCCAAGTCTAAGACATGGTGGGCCATGTGTGACTGCCAGTTGCCTCTTCTGCACGTGCGTTCTGAGCGTGATCTCACCTGTAAAATGTCCGTAATCCTGGGTACCCCAAGGTGCAGTTGTGAGGCTGCATGGGCTGACGCGTAGGACAGAGAGGGGCTCATTAAATGTTGTTTTCCTCCCTTCCAAATGAGCTGGATTTGGAGGGAAGCAGACTTCCCGAGAATCAGCGGCTTGTCTGTAAGGTAAAGTTATTACGACTGGAAACTGGACACACTAATTTTTTCGTTTGTGTTTGAACTTGGATGGCCTTCACATGGCTGCATTCTGTGTGTCTAGGCTGCGGTCCCTGACTGGGCATTTGCCAAATACAAAGTGATTTTCAAACTAAGTCAACCCCATTGCAATGTGTACTTCAAGGCAACATTTGAAGAAGGTATTGGTTTCAAAAACAAAACAAATCTACACACAAGAGACATACATACGTGTCCTCACTGGACTGTGTAACGTCGCTGACCTGTGAGATAGGACAGCTCTTTCCTGTTCATACTGGCATCCCCATCTCTTTTGACATACCGCAGTGGTAATTGTTTACTGTTATGAATAAACGTTAATAGGCATTTTTCACATTGACAAAAGCGTTTTCTTCAATATATAACAGCTACTGAAAAAGAACAATTAAAATATTTCAATATCACTCCTTGCTTTGAGTCATCCTTGGTGAGATGTAGTTTATCTAAGCAGTCACAAGAGTCATGCAGGGTCCATGACCCAGATGAGGCCTTGCGCACTCAAGACCTCTTGTATTGAGTAAAGTGTCGCCAGCTGCACGCAGCTATGCCCAGAACTCCTCCCAGGTGCGGTAAAGACGGTGCAGGAATCGCCCTTCGCCTGTGTGTCCAGCAGAGGGCAGTAGCGTCCCAGTTTTCCTTTCTGACACGTTTGCTTTTGCATGCTGCGGTTGCATAGCGTTCTGAGGCTCTTGGGTGGCTGACACATAATTGCAGACATTAAGCGTTTCTTAGGAGAGGCATAAAATGTATTGTGAGGGCAGTGAAATCCTTTGTCAAAACTTCTCTGAAGATCTGACCCCATACCGTGACAGTGCAAGGCTTGAACGTATGCCTGTCACTCACCAGCTTGTAGTCTCTTGCGTCCTGTGAACCTCATTGGCCAAATGTTTTTGTGTTGCTTTATTTTGTTCAAGTAACGACAGCACTCTCTGTGATTGTGTTAGGATACAATTTTACCCAACTGTCAATAAATGAATTTTGTCATTTTCATATCAAGTACTTCTGAGATTCCATATTCCCTTGAGCAGCAGAGTATTGGGACTTGATAAGAAGGAAGGAGGTATATGTCCTCTCTTTCCGCCTCTCCAATCATCCTCCTCTCTCTAGATTTTTCCTGGGAGCTGTCTGGCCGTTTGGCTTAAGTGGAAACCACGGATAATTTTCTTTCTTTTAAGAGAAATTAGTTCTCGAAAGGCAGAAAGAAAAATAGAGAATTTTGGTGAAAGCCTTTGGTGAATTCTCTTTGTGTTCTAGGTCAGCCCTGGATCTGGGTGGATGGAAATGCTGTATGTCACTTATCAAAGAGGTTGCTGCTTTATACGGGCCACAAAAACTCTTTATATGGGCAAACTGTAATAAAATGCTATGGGCATAGTAGTTCAGAACCACTAATGCTTATATCTCTTTGGGAAAAGTCATGAAAAATATTGGGAGATGAAAGCAGGGTGTGGTGGACCCCATTTAGTTTGTGCTCTAAGCCCCCTGCTGTTTGTGGTCCGTGCTGGAGCTGACCAGTGGGCAGTCACATTGCAGACCACATCAAATTTTTTTTTAAGTAAAGGGAGAAAAAAATACAATGGACAAAATATATATCCATAGCTTGGAAATGCTTGGAATAACCTGCTGTGCATGGTGGCCCCAACTTAGTGATGCAGTGGCTCTGGGACATCAGAAAGCCCTTGGAGGTCAAGGTTCAGAATTGTGTTCCTCTTGGAGAGTTCTCAGAACAGAAGCTCCTCAGAGTTGGCCATTTTGTTGTCCTTGTAGAGAAAGTGCCAGCACTTAGATCATAGTGAGTCTTCAGTATACGATTGTTGAGAGCATGAATGAATGAATGAATGAAGCACATAGTCATGTTTTAAAAATTAGGACCGTATCAACTGAAGATTATTTTTATTAGATACATATAATCCATATTTTCCCATTAAAAACTGAAATTTTTATTAAAAAATGTATTTTATTCTATTTATTATTTGTACTACTCTTTAAGAAATTATGTGGGTATGGTGACTCATGTCTGTAATCCCAACATTTTGGGAGGCAGAGGTGGAAGAATCACTTGAGGCAAGATATTCGAGACCAGCCTGGGAAACAGTGAGAAAGCCTCTCTAGAAAAAACTTTACAAATTTTCCAGGCATGGTGGCACATGCCTGGAGTCTCACCTACAGGGGAGGCTGAGGCAGGAGGATGGCTTGAGCACAGGAGGACGAGGCTGCAGTGAGTCATGGTTGCAGGACTGCTCTGTATCTTGGGCAACAGAGTGAGACCCTGTCTCCAGAAAAAGAAGACAGAGAGAAAACTGAACTCAAATCTTTATAAAATGGGTGTATTATACTACAAGTTTAGATACAATATACATGTCTAATCATTTCCTAGCATGCTAGGTATAGCGAGGTAAACAAAGAAACTGGGAGACAGAGTCCTTGCCCTTGAATTGTGCAATGTAATGGGGAGATGATGCCAGCCCACGTGAAAGTCCTAAGAAGGGGTAAGATGGCGTATTACTCAGGCTAGAGTTCTCCTTGGACGCTGAAGTAGAGCTTGCCTATGCCTGTTGGAACACCTGTCATACTCTGGAAATTATTTACCTGGGTATCCTGTCTTGCCTGTTAGAGGAATAAGCTATTGAGAAGCAGGGAGCCTGTCTTACATATGTGAACAGCCTTCACCGGGCCTGGGCAATAGTCGCAAGGCAGTAAATACTGGCTGAGTAAAGGAGCAGAGGCCAAGTGCTGGAGATGAGCCTGGCATTTGCCTGTAGGTGTAGGGTGGAGAGGAGATGTGGCTTGGTAAGAAATCCTGCTGACTGGAGAAGGGAGTTGGTGTGGAGAGTAGCAGAAGTGAGTGTGTGGCAGCTGATGGGTGTTGCCATCAAGGTAATCAGGGAGGAGCCTGGATGAGATGTGGCAGCAACAGGGAGCCGTGTGAGGAGGAGCACGGCACAAAGGCAGTGTTCCAGGTGATGAGCTTGGCTGTGATGCAGTGTGAGTTGCCGGGGGTGACGGAAACTGAACAGAACTGCAAAGCAATAGAATTTGACAATACAAATGCTTCTAAATCAGCTATTTTTTAACCTAAAATGATGGATATACATGAATAATTTATTGGTCCACATGGTTTCATAGAGATGGTTCTTTTTCAATAGAAGAGAAAAAAATTATTCCTAAAAGAGCACAATAAAATCCGCAAAGACGCTTTGAAACAATGAGGAGCTTATTCCTTTTGCATGTTCCAAGCAGATTTTTATTACTTAATGAATCATAATTTCAGTAATAAACAAGGGGGTAATAAATGACAACCATTAACAAGTAATGAATAGACCTATATGGAATATGGGAGAACCTCAGTTTGAAGCAAGAGATGGTTATTCCAACAGGATGATGGTGAATGTTCAGGGGAGCATCCCTTCGATGTACAAATGGTCTCACTAGGTTTGCAGAAGGCACCTTCACCCGGGAAGGTTGTGCACAGCAAGCCTCAGATGGTGTGACTTCACCGAGTCAGCTGGCTTGTGACCATCCACGTGGTGTTGCCCCAAAGAAGCAAAGCACCAGTGACCGTGGGTTACGTCCCGAAATAAGCTTCCAGTGGGGCTGCTCTTGAAGCCAGCAGTTGGGGACTTTATGGAAAGACATGTGTTGGTTGGCAGGGGTTTTTGGTTTAGCCTTTTCACCTCATTTGTAAATGTGAAAAAAATAATTATCATCCAGGTTATATGCGAGGCCCGTTCATTCTTTAAGTTCAATTCAAATAATCCATCCCAGCTCAGTTTTCTCTCTGCTCCCTGGACTCCACTCCGCTGTAGTGTTGAGGATTTTGTTTATTTATAATGACGCTATTTTATTTTCAGCACATCACAAGTTAGTAGCTACTTATATGTCCTTCCCTGTCCACTAGACTCTGATTTTCTTGAAGGAGAGGGACACATTTCATCATCATTATATTCGCATCTTCAGGACAATGGCTCTGGGGAGAGATGAGTTAACTCTTGACTGAAGACAGCTCGGTGTGGTGGCTGGAACCTCAGCTTTAGGCTGTGACGGATCTGCATTTGAGTCCGGTCTAGACAAGCTGTGAGAATTGAAGCACACTACTTAAGCTTTCTGAGCCTTTTCTCCTCTTAATAACGAGGATAAAGATACATACCACCCAGCATTGAAAAAGAATCAGAAGAGACAATGTAGGCCATTGTGAAGACTGGAGCCACTATTATGATCTCCGACTGCACCTGAGCCCTCCAGGCTGCACAGAAATCCTGTTTCCTTGATAGCATCTCTTTCCATTCACAACAGCAGCCTTATATGCTCACTTACCCGTTGGTTGTTTACAATCAGTTGACACCTATGTATTTAAAACTCATCTGTCCAAAGTTGAACTCATCCTCAGCACGTACCATTTCTTGTGTGCCCTGAAAGTTAGTAAATGAAATCACCATCCACCCGGCAGGCCAATCCACACACTTGGAGTTTGTCCTTGACTTCCTCCTCCGCTGTGCCCTCCACACCTCTTTAACCACGAAATTCCATCAGTACAGCACCAACTCCTCACCTTTTCTGCCCCAGCCCGGGCCACCAACATTCTCGCCTTGTTTCTTATGATAATCTGTTCATGGTCATCCTGCCTCCACAACCTCATTCCCCTCTGATCCACTCATAGTTGTAGCACACAAATGTGGTGAGGTCCCTGACCACCATCCCTGGCCGGGTGTATCTGTGTAACTGCGTTTTTATCACGGCACCTGCCACGGTGCATCAGGAGGTGTTGGAATCCTTCCTACTCTGTAAACTCCCTGGGTGGGGGGGCGCGTCATGTTGGCCTTGACCCCACTGTCAAGAAGCTAAGTGGAAGGCAGGCATGACACAAATATTTGGGAAAGAAGAAGAAACGAAGCAGCCAGCACTGCTAGTGGGGCGTAGCATCTTCTTTCCTGCTCCTCCTTATTCTTCCTTCTTTTCTCCCTTCTCTTTTCTGTCCCCTTTTCTCTTTTCTCTCCTAGTTATTACAGTTTTGGGTTGTCATCGCCATCATTGTATCATCCTCATCATCACCGAGGATCACCTATGATGACCTCTATTGTGAAAAGAAAAGAAAATCTCAGGACCCTAAACTCACTATGCTGAAGGGAAAAGTTGAACTTGGAAACTGAGTCATGTAAAAAAAAACCCCGCCTTTCCTTTTGTTCCTAAACAGACAGCTAGAGAAAGAAGGCCACGTGTCTCCCCAGGGGGCCTCCCTCACCTTGACAAAGTAAACTAACAGCTTATCTTCATGGTACTGGACAAGAGGAGACGAGGCACAGTCCCTCCGCCCACCTGAGATGAATGCATATTTGTCTTCTTCCTCTACTCCGTGTTTATTTTATCTCACATAAAGTGCAGATTTACTCAGCACGAGGTGAATACATAATCGATTGTTCCTCTACCTCCTCCTTGTCACGTGTGACATGTAGGTTCACTGACTGCTAATCGAAGCCTCAAAAAATGTGACTATACCTTCCCTCTCTTTTTTTCCCTTCTTTGCCGCCTGCCTACTTTATCCCTTTAAATACTGAAGCCCTCAAAATCCTCTTTGAAAAAAAGTGCTGGCCACAGACCAGTTGTGACTTGTGTCTCTTTTCCCCAGGCACGTCCTCAACCTTGGCAAAGTAAGCCTCTAAATGGATTCACACCCGTCTCAGACATTGTTTTTGTTTTGTTTTGTTTTGTTTTTTGAGTTCACCATCATAGCAGGGGATTGCTAGCAACAGTTAGGACCTGGAGGGGAGACCAGAAGAAGAGGCCGCTGGGCACGGGTGAAAGCAGTTCAGAAGACTTGGGGGAGAGGAAGACACCCAGGACCTCGTCAGCCTCCTGCCTCCCCCTTTTTTTGGGCGGCTTCTTTTGGAGGAGAGTAGCGAGTGTTCTCCTCAGAATGATCTGCCCGGGCATCAGCCTGCCGTTCCTAATGGAAACAGAAACGTTAACTCTTACTCTAGTGGTGGAGCCCCTTGGACTCCATCTGCAGTTCTCTCGAGGCCAGGATTCTGAATGAGCGAGATGAACTTTAATCTTCACTTCTTGTACTTTGGTTCTTATTTTCTGCCTCAGTGTCTTCTTCTCTTTGTTCATGGAGTCCCAGTACTCTCATGTCTGGAAACCTATCACCCTGATTACATAGAGATGAGATGATGAAATTGTCAGCAACTTGCTGAAAGTCACATGCCTGTGTCCTCAGAACAGGCACTGAGCTGTGGGTTCTCTGGATGACAGAATAGTCTTTTCCACATTAACTTAACCGGTGAGGACCCACTGGCTGGAAAACGTTAAGTTTGGAAACAGGCAAAGTGAGATTGTGCGTGTGTGTGTGTGCACGTGCGAGCATGTGTGTGTTTGCAAGTGTGTGTAATTGTGTGTGCGTGTAAGTGTGTGCAAGCAAGTGTGCATGTGAGTGTGTGAGTGTATGCGTGAGCGTGTGTGGGTGTGTGTGTGTGGAGTGTGTGAGAGTGTGAGTGTGTGAGTCTGTGGGAGTGTGTGAGTGCGTGTGAGTGTGTGAGTGTGTGTGAGTGTGTGAGTGTGGGAGTGTGTGAGTGTGTGTGTGTTGGGGATCGGTGGTGAGCAAGTGTCTTTTGTTGTCCATTCCTTTCTCACTGCCTCCTGCCTTACTCTCCTTACTCTCCTTACACATCCTTACTCTCTGCTTCCATTCCCTCTTCTCACTATTCAAGTTCTTCCGTTCTCTCCCTGTATTATGTTCTCCCCATAATTGCCGTCTTCACTCTTCCCCAAATCTCTATCCCCTTAATTTGTCCTTTCTTAGTTCTCCCTCCCCAGATTTATTCTGAAGGTTCAATGGACCCCTAAAAAATATGAAATACTGCATTTTAAGGGACATTAAAGGTATGTAATTTTGATTAATTTACACTGTAGCCAGTTATGTGAGAACTATTTGATGTCCAATGAGCCTTTGAAAAGTCTTAAAGTTTTTTCTGAAATTTTAACATTACATTTGTTGAGGAAAACTAACTCAAACACTTTAAGATCAATTTCTTCTTGGGAACTGTATTTCTTTGCTCACTAAAGGGTCTGCACGCCTATCTTTGCAGTTATAGAAGCTGCAAGAATTGAACACTGAGAATTGAGAGGGGAGAGAAATTCTGTTGTACGTTCCCACATCCTGTTCTTGAGGGGCTGTGGCAGGTTTGGAAGGGCAACAGTGTGAACACAGATTGAATTAAATACACTGGTGTCAGGGTGGGGTCGGGCAAAGGCAGGATCTAGTCAGCATGAGTCTGGATAGGCAGGATTTCTGGACGGAGGTCTATGGGACCAGAGTTTTTGCGGAGCAATGGGTAGAGGTTGAGCCTGGTGGAGCTTGGAGTCAAGCTCTGGGTGTGGAGGTCTGAGGCTCCCTTGTGGGAACAGGAGCTCCTGCTGCCCTGTTACTGTGGGGAGCTCACGTCTTCCTCCACCCCTCTATTTCTGAGATGGGACTTTTGAAAGGGCCAGGCATAGAAAAAGGCACAACTCTAGATCTTGTGGGAGTGTCCAAGTCTTTATTTATGGTGCATTATTCATTGTCTGTGGGGATGACCACACCGCTTGTGAAACTGCGGCTCCTCGGGAGCTGATCCTGCAGTTGCCTCTCTCTTTAGCATTCCACCTTCTGCGGTCTAATGCTTTCTGGGAACAAGGAGAGAGGACAGTGGCAGCAAGCCCTTTTCCTCTTTCCATCTAGGTCCCCCCAGGCAGGAGATTAAGATATGGGCTCAGTGAGATATCAGATCATTGAAGTTAGATGGCACAGGGCCATTGGTAAAAGCCCGAGGCCTGCCTCCTACATCTCTCAGGCTAGATAGTCTGGACTGTAAATTTTTATATGGTTTTCGTTTATATAGTTTAGAGAGTAAGATCAGAAATTACGGAGCCAGTTTTCTCCAACCACTTGTGACTGTGCCCTTGGGCATGCTATTTTACCTCTCTGTTCCTCAGCTTCTTAAACTTTAAAGTGGGCACACAGTAGTGTAAAAGCAAACACACAGTAGTTTCAGCTATTGTATTTATTGCACCAACAGCTGTGGGTGCAGTTCCATGTCTCAGCTGACAGAGGTGAGGAAGTCTTCCCGAAATATGACTACAGGTAGAGGCTGTTGGGAAAGCCGTGCTTTGAGGCCTGTGTGGTAAATCAGGTGCATTAGATTAATTACCTAATCTGTGGTAGATGAAGGCTGAGCACCTGTTTCCTCCTTTGGTTGCATCTTCCTGGACTGTAGCGGCTGCAGAGCCGAAAACTACGTTTCCCAGATACCCTTCTGCCTGAGTTTCTGGATGCAAATTGGCCTCACCAATCAGATTCTCTTAGGTACGGACTGCAAGTCAGAACAGAGAAGGAGGTGTCCTCCTGCTGGCAGGCTCTGCGGTGGGGAAGGAGGGTCTTTCTGTAGCCCTGTGCAGTGTCTGGCCACCAGCTTGGGTGGGTATAGAAGGCAGTTGTCTCTGGATTCCTGCCTTCCTGACTGGGCCATCCCTCTGGATGGCTCTGCAGGGTTGCTGGGGGTCCTTCCTGGAGACTCAGCCCAGAGGTCACTCCTCCTTTCAGTGTCATTAGCACCCAATCTTTACACTCCCTTCTGCAGGGTAGGCAGTAATTTCTGCTTTTTACAACATAACCTTGATAACCTTGATATTTAAGTCTATGGAAAGCTAAAGGACTTTTCTGAGGCAATCTTTTCTGATTTTCCAAGGCAGGTAGGTCACACTCCTTAGCTGTACAGTCTCATTGGATTCCCCACTTGCTAGAACTTTCCTAGGCTTCCTCATTTATCAGCTCATGCTATGAGGACTCTTAGTCCTTGTAAGGTGTGTCTAGGGATTTTCCTGTGTCTCACTTAATAGATTTTTCTCAGGTTGACTACAGGAGGGAGATTTGACTATCAATAGTGGTATTGGTGAGCCCAGTAACTATGTGATGGGACCTGGATATGATGCAATCAGTCAGTCTGACAATGGGGAGATTAAGGTCCAATTGTTCTGCAGATACCACACCTGGCATCCTGTCTAATGTAGACTCTCTCTGTTAGGTGCACAAGTGAACTTATAGCATGGCAAATGAGAAATTATTTCAGTTGGGCCCATAGTTTTGTCTGCATATGTTAATAAGATATTTGATTCAATGTCAACTTAGATCTTGAGAGGTAGAAAAGAGATTCTGCCAGAAGGTCAAATGAGCTGATATCTATGATTGCAAATCCAGCTGAGGATGAAAATACTGGATGAAATGTGAAAGGTAACTCCCATTGTGGGGATCTTGTATAACAGAACAAGGTGGGCACAGCTGTGTGGGTTCGTTGCTGGCTTGGATAAGCTGATGCTCAATGCCGAGAGGATGGTTCTTTCTCCACAGTGCATGTCAGTGGTAAGTTCAGTAGTTCAATTGCACAAGCTAAGCAATTAGCACATATTTTTTAGAAGTTATTTTTGTTTATTTTCATTTTTAAACGTCTATTTCTGAATATGCAAAATCTAAGCTCAGTGGAAGTAACTTGCATAAAACAGACACCCCCATAAGTGTTAAAAAACCAACCACGGGTCCTAGAGGAGGGAAGGTTGAAGGTGGAGAACTGTGGTATGAAATTCAGGGAGAATCTCCACAAAGTTCCAGGTGCTGTGTGCTCCTTGTTGGAGAACAGATGAGTGTTTTCAGGAGACAGGGAGGATTTAGTGCCCAAGAATTGCAGTCGGGCACAGTGGGGTGTGGTGGGGAGTTGCCAGGACCAGGCTTAGCTGAGGGCAGGAGAGACTGCTGGAAACCATAGCTATGAGCATATCCCGTTGAACAGCAAGTTTTGGTGCATGTGGCCAGCCAGCAGGAGAGAGGGCCAGGGAGCAGTGAGGCGGACTCTGGAAGCTGCAGGGAGGCGGGCTCTGGAAGCTGCAGCGAGGCGGGCTCTGGAAGCTGAGGTGGCTCCACATTCTGCTGTCTGTGCCCTACCATTTTTATTTGAGCCAGTTTAATTTTTTTTCAACTAAGTCTCCCTCCCTATCTTCTTCCTCCTTCTCTCCCTTTCTTCTCTTCCTTACCCTTTTTCTTCTGACCTCCATTTAGTTTTAATTCTTTTTTTTTTTAAAGTTGCATATGTATAGTGTGAAGAATTAAATAATTCCATAGGGTCTGTTGTGCAGAATAGTAATCTGCTATCCTCCTCTTCCATTACATCTTTTCCAGAGGAAATATAATAGCTTTAAACTTTACTGCCTTTTTTTTCTTTTTTTTGGTGTTTGCCTCTATATTTTAAAATAGCGTGCTTTTATTGCTACTTTTCAAGAAATTTTCAATTTCAGGCATTATTTATGGAAGCGAGGGCTTTCCTTTCTTTCCTCCTCCCTCTGCCACAAGCATCCTCCCCATTGGTTACACTTTTGGTTAGATCAATATTCATTGTTTTCATTTATTTTGACTTTTGTAACTGTCACTCAGTGCTGAGCCTGTGGCAAATTATGATTGCTTTTCCTTTCCTATATGACTTTTTGTCTTTTCTGGACTAATAGCTGTTTTTTTCATTGTTTATGTCTGTATGTTTTGATTACTAATTTAACTCCAAACTCCCTGCTAGTTGTCCAAATCTCCTTTCTCAAATTTCCCAGACATTAGGTGTTCTGAGACTTCTGTCTTCTTGAGTAAACCTTTTCCAGAAACTTTGGGCCTGATTCAATGCAGGGTTCTTGCTTTCAGGCCCCACGCTCAGCTGTATGTTCCTGGACTTTCCCTCCACCATCACTGTAGGGATTCCCTTCTCACTTTGCTCCTCTGTTTCCTTGCTTGAGCCTTCCTCTGATTTCGAATACCTCCTTGTTTTGGGGATGCACCTCCTCCAGGAGCTTGCTGGTACAGAATGCATGGGACTCTATCTGTCAGGATTCAGAGGGCAAGCTCTAGTAAGAAACTTCAAGAAGCATTTAATAAAGGGATGGTTTACAAAGATGTGGAAGGCTGAAGAAACTTGGGGCCAGTACGAGCAAAAGTCTTTTTCCATACCTAGGTTTGGGGTCATGGGAAGGAAGCAGTTACTGGGATCTGCAGACAAAAATATATTTGAAGGTAGCAATCAACCCACATTGGTCTTGCGGGAATTTTCTCATTTTGCTCATTTTGGAACTCCTACCAGACAATGATCATCCTGCACTGATGGCCTTTTCTTCTTTATTTTATATAATTTAGAAATTTTGCCCTATTTCCTGTGAGGTTTATTCAGTTCTTTTTTCTAAACTTCTATAGTTTCTTGTGGGGAGGCAACATTTTACTATCGTATTTTACATTTCCAAGAGCTTGCTTCAGTCCTCTCAATGTTCATTTTTAATAACATCTTGTTCTTGTTTCATGATTGCACTATTTCCTCTTACTTTTCTGAGCATAGTAATAATCTTTTTGAGGGAAACATTGTATTCTCTCTAAATAGTTTTTCTATAGTATCCTCCAAAATGTGTTTAGCATGCTTTTGTGTTTATTTTTTCTTTCCTTCAGGTCAGTGATGTTTTTTTCAGATGGTTAGATTTCCTTGTATCTCTGGTCGTATTTAAAAGTAGAAGATGAAGAAGCTGATTGGAAGCCCTGAGCACATTTGTGGGTTGCTATATGGGCTCTGATGTAGGATGATCTGGTTGAGCCATTGTACTGGGGAATCCTTGATGGTTATACTGGTTATACTGGTTGTACTGGGGAATCCTTGATGTTAGTGACTTTTGTCTCTTCTCTTGGGCGGAACAGAGTCCTCAGAGAAAACCTTACAATCTTCTGCAGAGGGTGAACGTCTAGCAATGATCTGGGAACTAAAGGGAAGAAGATTGCTGGGGTCGAAGGAGGGCCTCAGCATCCAGGATCCAGTTTCACTTCATCTTCCCTTTTCAACATAACCATCTCTGACGACATCTTGAACATTTACATTTATCTTCTCAAATGACTAGCCTTCCATTTTCTTGCTAGAGTGTGGATCTGGAAGTCTATCTGTTTTTAAAGTGGCTACCAAGCCGTCCTTCACCTTCATTCTACTTCCAGCACCTCAGGGTTCCCTGCTGAACCTCTGGGAATCTCATGGCTCAAATCCAACTGGCCACTGGCTTCCTTACTGCTGGTTGAGTGAGGAGTCATCTTTCTTTGGTCCACCAAGTCAGTTACCACCTGCCTTTCTGCCTTCTAATTATGGTTTCTTTGATCTTTCTCCATATCCTTACAGGTCTAGGACCTAAAAAAATTACTTTTATGGTGTGTTAGTGGAGTTCTGTGAGGGTGTGTAGAGCTAAATGTTGAAATTTTAGTCTCTTTCCTAAGGCAATTCCCCATTCCTAGAAGAAGACAGCTACATGGTCCCTCACCAGAAAGGCTGCTTTCTCCTGTATGAATTGGGCTCCAGCTGGAGATTGGCTGGTCTGTGGGCTGGTGAAAAATCAGGCTTTTATTCATGGCTGTGTTGTTCCTCTGAAGCTCATTTTGCCTTCTGGAGACCCAGCAACAGGGCCATGTTCTGAACAATGGTGCTGTCTTTTCCTTTTTGCAGTACACTATCCTCCATTTCTGTGACCGCATGCAACTCTAGCCAGTCCCTAGCTCAGATAACCTGAATGGAGGCCACACCTCCCTGAGGTCCCTGGGGCTCATTTTCTGAAGGGCATCACCGGGACTGGAACTCCCAGATCATCTCCTATGTCCCATCCTGTGCCCCAGTCTTTTAATGAACCTTCAGATGATATATTTAAGAGATTTAATCATGGATTACTGCATTATACCATAAAACCTTTTTGCTTCCATGCAGTAACTTTCTGATGCCTGTAGCTCTACGAGTAACAAAGATGGTATATTCAGGCAGTATTTTTGTCTGTGAGGTTTCCCGCAAGTATCTCTGTTTAGCCAACCCAGGGACAACATCCTGTGGCTTTGTTTTCCTTTGGGAGCTAAACTGGCTCATTTTATCAGGGGTGAAGCAAGATAAACCTTAGGAATAAATAGTTTTGTGTCAAAAGTTGCTGCCTTGAAAATTTGTTTCCACAGGGTGTCAATGTGCTGATATTCCAATCTTGCAGAAATCGACTGGATTTAGTGGAATTAAAGTCAACTGGAAGACGATCTGTGGGGATAATTCCATGATTCAAAGCCTTCAGGGAAAACGTGTTTGCTCAGCTGCAGTGATTGAAAAATTGAAGGCAATGAGAGTCATATGTTATGCTTGGTTATGTCCTGCTCTGATGCCAGTTTGGAGTAAAGGCTGAACTTTGCTGTTGAAAGCCACTGTGGAAAGTGGAAACATTGACTGTGCGTTGCTGAGGGGAGGAATGTATTTACTTACCCAGAAATAGACGCATCCTTGTCTCAGTGGGCTGGGAGATAGTATCAATCCTTTCTGTTGCAACAGATCCCACTGCCTTCTTTTTTCAAAAGAGTAAATATTTAAATAGGTAATACAGAAAAGTTATTGCCATTTTTCCTTCATCAGCCATGGCTGGGAGTCAAAAGAGAGAGTGAGGCAGAACTCACACATGGGGAAATAATATTGTGGACGTTATATATAATCCTTTTAAAGTAACGGCATTAGACTTCGTGATTTGCAATTGGCCAAATTGAGAAAACTTTTCTCAAAAAGCCATTTTAAGATAAAAAATTATGAATTTTCTTAAGCCCTGTGATTAGAGTGTAACACGTATTTATGGTCCCCCCAGGCACCACCCAATAAAAATGGTTAAAACCTTTAGTACTTTTAGTAGTTCACAGTTTTATGGCCAAAGTTATTTTGTAGATTTTATGCTTAAAGCAAGGTCAATGTATTGCACTGTATAAATTATTCTAAGTAATTGCTCAGTTATTTTATAGCTTAGTCACAGGATTTTTTCATTATTAAACGTAGCCTTTTCTTTAAAGTTAGGATGAGAAGGGCACGATAAATCACAGAGCAGCTTGCCATTGGGGTTTCAGCTTTACCTGTGATAAGGGTTTAATAACAATCTGGCCCAGACACCAGCTCCCTCTCAATTACCTTTCCACATGGGCATTAGTTCACACTGTTTATTAAAAACTCCCCTTGTAGTTCTTAAATGGAGTGTTTCAGATTAATGGCCCCCACGGAGTTTAACTTCATTGCACTTCATTAAAGCTAGATTGTACAAAAGGTTACTTCAATTAAATCCAGAATGCGACCTTAAATCTGTATAGATTTTTTTCAGAAAATGTGATAAAATTGCTCTGCCAATCCTTCAAGATTAACAAGACAAAATCCCTTTCAGTAACCAAAGTACAAAAATTTGTGTGCCTGTTCTGAGTTTTCCTCTGGCTGTACAACTGGATTTTATAGAATTAGAGGACAACTCGTGGAAAGAGCCTGGAGTTACAAATGGATCAAGTTACCGGAGAGCTGAGCCCCAGTGTGAGGCTGGAGAGTTTGGGAGACCTTTTGTTCCCCTTGAGTGGATGCTGTACATTTGGTGCTTTAGAAAAAAAAATATTTTGCTTCCCATATAATAAAAATATTTTTCTAAATAGATTGGTCTGTGTCTTTTCAAAAAAAAAAAGTGACGTAAAATCTTCTGAGGTTTTCTTCCTTAGCTACTCCAATCTGTGAGGCGCAGTTTGTGGCAGTTCTTAAACATTGTTTCCTCAGGAAACACGGGACAACTGGAGGCATTAATTACCCATCCTGCACCACGAGCATCTGGCCTCATTGTCTAGAGGCAACTGTGGAAAGTGATGCTCATTAACACCATGGCTCAGTAGCTCCATGTCATCTTTCTGTGAGTTTCAAGCGACTCAGTGAAGTCAACCCAGATCCATTTTCTGCTCTTTTTGGATGGACAAGATGCTCACAACCAATGCCCAGAATCTGCTTATAGTTTTAAAAGCTCTTCTATTGTAAATATTTTTTAAATGCCATTAATTTTATTTTTTGAGATGGGGGCTATGTTGTCCAGGCTGGTCTTGAACTCCTGAGCTCAAGTGATCTGCCTGCCTCGGCCTCCCAAAGTGCTGGGATTACAGGTGTGAGCCACTGTGCCCAGCCAAAAAATGCTATTAATTTTCGATTATTAAAAAAAGTTGGCCGGGCATGGTGGCTCATGCCTGTAATCCTAACACTCTGGGAGGCCGAGACAGGTGGATTCCCTGAGCTCAGGAGTTCGAGACCAGCCTGGGCAAGATGATGAAACCCCGTCTCCACTAAAACACAAAAAATCAGCTGGGCATGGTGGTGAGTGCCTGTAATCCAGCTACTCAGGAGGCTGAGGCACAAGAATTGCTTGAACCTGGAAGGCAGAGGTTGCAATGAGCCAAATTTGCGCCACTGCATCCCAGCGTGGACAACAAAGCAAAACTCTGTCTCAAAAAAAAAAGTTAAGCCTATATTGAGGTTTTAAGGAACTGAGGCTATCATTGTTACTCAGATGTCAGTGCATCTGAGTTTGTAGTATTGTTGCTGTTTGGTTTTTCTGCCAGTATTTTTTTTTTTTTGTCTAGGTTCTGTCTACTTTTCATGATCAAAACTGGCATTTACTAAGGAATCCAAAATAATCTAAGCATTTATTCAAATGTCTTATATATGCATTATACATGACGATATTCATTGCACACTTGTGCATAGGGTCAGGACTCTGCACAGAGAGAAGAGATGTCATCTGGGGAAAGTGACACGAAAGTCCTCTCACTGGGTACATTTACATATAAGTAATTTGTCTGGGTGGAGACACTGAAGATTTGTTTAAATACAATATTGTATGAAGAATGGAGGAGCCATTAAATGATTATCACCAATTAACAGCCAAGTTCATTAAACTAGCATGTTACTTATTTGGATCCTCAGGGGACCATCAGAAAATAGATATATTTTGACTTACAGAAATTAGCACACTGAGAACAAGTGACACTACGGACAGGTCGGCCCCACTCTGGTGTCATGGCGGGGAAAGGGTGGCACTACGGACAGGTCAGTCCCACACTGGTGTCACGGTGGGGAAAGGGTTTTGCACAACCGGAAGGGGGAATGAAGACCCTGGGCACTAGGCATTTTAAGAGCAAAAGAAAAGAATAGAAATAAGTGAGAAAATTGTATCCACTTAAGAATTTGGGATTGTGTTGTCTACACATATTGTAGGTTAACCAGTCTCCAAATGTGGTCTTATTCTCCAGATCACATTTGGAGACTAGCTACTACTAAAAATACAAAAATTAGCTGGGCGGATGCCTGTAATCCCAGCTACTCGGGAGGCTAAGGCAGGAGAATCGCTTGAACCCGGGAGGCGGAGGTTGAGGTGAGCTGAGATCGGGCCATTGCACTCCAGCCTGGGCAACAAGAGCAAAACTCCATCTGAAAAAAAAAAAAAAATAGATTTTAAATAAAAATGTTATTTAATTAACATGTAATAGGTTTATTATTACTATTTTAAAATAAATCACTAAATATTTTTAGATTGTTAGTTTGTGTTTTTTCTATGATAAATATTAATAAGTATAAATATAAATCAAATCAACAAAACTTTTTGAAGTCCAGGATACTTTTTGAGCCTAATGGGGTCCTGAGAGTCAAGTATTTGGCAGCCACTGATCTAGGTGGTGAATAGATTCCTTCCTCATTGTAATTTGTCAGGCATTCAAGAATTGCCTGTGGAGAATGCTGGCATTGAGAATATTGAAGTCCTGGGAATACCTCTATGCACGTACTTCTCCAAATGTAGTTGGAGAGAGAAGTTTTGCTAAAACAGCTTTCTCACATTTATTTATTTATTTATAATTCTTTTTAGAGACAGGATCTTGCTTTGTCGCCCAGGCAGGAATGCAGTGGTGTGATTGTAGCTCACTGCAGTCTCAAACTCCTGGGCTCAGGCGATCTCCTGGCCTCTGCCTCCCCAGTAGCTGAAAACAGCTTTCTATTATTACATAAAACAAACATTAAGGAAGATGGCTGTGACTGCAGGTGCAGCAGGGAATAAGTAAGAAATATGAAAATTAAAAGGAAGGAATTTGAAGGCATTAATAACAAGCTTATTCTAATTCATCACTTTCCTTTGGTATAGTAATTAGACTATTTTGCCACTGATGAGATTTTAGAATAGAATATTAATTTGTATCAGACTTAATTAAAATTCAAAAACAGGCCAGGCATGGTGGCTCATGCTTGTAATTCCAGCACTTTGGGAGGCTGAGACAGGTGGATCACGAGCTCAGGAGTTCGAGACCAGCCTGGCCAACATGGTGAAACCCCATCTCTACTAAAAATACAAAAATTAGCTAGGTGTGGTGGTGGGCGGCTGTAGTCCCAGCTACTCAGGAGGCTGAGGCAGGAGAATCACTTGAACCCGGGAAGCCGAGGCTGCAGTGAGTCGAGATCGCACCACTGCACTCCAGGCTGGGCAACAGAACAAGACTCCATCTGAAAAACAATAAAATTGAAAAACAATGTTTTGAACTAAAATGTCTCAAATGAGCATGGATAAAAAGTTGCAAGTTGTGACCTGCTAGTTGAGAATTGGAAATAATTGGGAGTCCTTGGATTGGGATGAGGAGAAGAGAAGGAAATTGTAGGATGATGTGCAGAACGAAGCAGCTAGTGGAGCAACAACAGCTCCTAAAGTAGGCGACTAGCATTTTGCAATAGTATTGGAATAAGTTTTCCATACAATTAAGCTGCACCATTCAAGTATGACTAGAAGGTGACTGGCTTCACTTTTAGACAGGAATCAATGGAAAAATCTCACTGGAGGACTTTGATGGCATTGGTGGAGATCATGAGTCTAATCTTTGACCAATGAGCAGAAGCTAGGGATGGGGTTGGAGATGCAGTTGGAGAGTGAGAAGAAGCAGTGTCCACATAAAGGAAAGCATTCTTCCCATAGGAAAAATGGGGCACTGGTCAGAAATAACAAACACGCCCAGTCAAATCCTAAGTAAGTTTGCAGCTGGATTTTTTCCAGTAATGTCTTCACTGGCCTTTTGTCCTTGAGTTATTCTCATCTCCTGCCCATCAGTGCCATATTAATAACCTCTCCAGACCCATTACATTACGATATTCTTTGCTTAAAACTTTCAGTCACTTTTATTACCTACTGAATTAACTTCAAACACCTTCTCTTGCTATTTAAGGTGTTCCAGAACTTGGTCTCACCCTGACTTTCTAGTTCCATCATTTTGACTCCTTTGCAAAAGCCAGAGTTGTCTGTTCTTTGAATCTTGTATGCATTGAGCAGATTCTTATCTCCATTTGCTTACCAATGACATAACTTTGCACTTATCATGTTCTCCTTTTATCCAAATATTAACTACTCTTAAAAGTCAAGCTCAGCTATTGTCCCAGCTACTCAGGAGGCTGAGATGGGATGATCACTTGAGCCTGGGAGATCAAGGCTGCAGTGAGCTGTGATTGCCCCACCCCAGTGACCTCCAGCCTGGATGACAGAGTGGGACCCTGTCTCAAAAGAAAAAAAAGTCAAGTTTAGGTTCAGTGTGCAAAAGAAAAGAGTTGTCACATAAGGAATTAGTTGGCCCTGAAATGTCAGACTTAGAGTGTTGGCTTCTTTTCCTAAGTCTTCCTTGCCTAAGTCTTCCTCTCCTAAGTCTTCCTCTCAATCTCGTAGGCTCAGAAATCTGATTTTGTTAAAAAATCATTCTCAGTATTGGGCTCAAAGAAGCTGAGCTTACAAGACTAATTTTAAATTACAGATTTTCCAGTGTGAACCCACAATGCTCACATTGGCAAAATTTCCATTTGAACATCACACTGTAGACAGAACTTTTTAGAAGTCTAAAAATTTCTAGGTGATTGCTTTGCAAAGATAAGGCTAAAAACATTACTAAGTTTTCATCTCTGTAATGCAGATGGCCTTACTAAGGTCACCATTCTATTGAAGCCATTCAGCTAAAGCTCTCTAGAATTCTTCCAATGTTTGCATTTCTGACTTTTTTATTTTTACTTTTTGACAATCCATTTTACTATTGGCACATCCAATTATTAGGTCTTTTCATGTGATTAATGAGATTATTGTTCATTTTTGCTGATCTGGGTGCAATTCATTCTGTTTTCTTAAGGAGACATTACCTAGCTTGGTTCTGAGTCTTTATGTCTTGATTTCACAATCTAATTATTCAAGAGTAATCTTAAGTTTCTTCCTTCCAAGTGCTTGGAAGAACATTTTATGATTTTACTGGCAACAATCATTATTTGATCTTTACAACAACCCTTAGGCAGACAGGGAAGATGAGTATCACGCTAATTTATAGATGAGGAAGCTGAGCCTTAAAGCATTAAGGGAGTTGTCTGAACTCACACATATTAACTGGATCAATTAGATCTCAAATTAAGACCTTTGTTCTACTACAGAACCGCCTGATGCAAGGACCACTTCTTCAGGCCAATTAGAGCACCTAGCAATGTGCTGGGATCACTGTACGTGCTTAATATATATTTATTTTAAAAAAGAATGAGGATACTACTATGACAAAAAAGTGAAACAAATTACCAGTTTCACAAAGTTAATTGTGAACTCCTAGGATGCATTCTTCATTGTCAACTGTCAACCCACTAAAGTAATTTTGGCTTTATGATTTGGAAAATGAGCATGATAATTCTTCCTGGTGTGAATTACTCAGGGTATGAGTGGACCATGAAGGTTTAAGATGAGTTATTGCAGTGGTCATGAGTCACAGTCGTGTGGATGAGGATTTAAGAAGATACGTGACAGGAGGTGGAGGAGCACAAGGCTTTCGAGACCATGAGTTGTAAGGAAGGTCAGGACCCTGGATAGGTCCCTGGTGCATAACAGCTGTAATTGTGAGAAAGCTTTCTTCCAGATTATTATCTTTTATTTAGATTTAAGCTTCCCTGGGTGACGTCTCCCCCGATGGAATTCTTTGGCTTGGTTATGGAAGATTTCAGAGTTTGGGGGAAGACTGTATCAGCGAGGTGCTCAGTTGCAAACAACAGAAATAAAGTCTGGCTAATTTAAGTAAGAAATTCAGAAGAAGCAATATTTATTAGAACTATATTTGGAAGAATCAATCACGCGTCTGGAGATCCATACTCAAAAAATGTGTGGAAACTAAGTGAAATTAGGCAGCTGAGAACGCATGGTTAGCACCACTGCTAGTGGACAATCGCTGGCCTGATCCTGCTGTGCTTTAACTCCACTGCTGCATGGACTTTACACAGTCGCTACTTTCCTCAGAGCTTGGCATTGCTTTCTCAAGATCCTAGAACTGGCTAGAGCTCTGATTGGCAAAGAGCCTAGAGCTGGCGAGAGCTCTGATTGGCCAAGATCCTAGAGCTGGCCAGAGCTCTGATTGGCCAAGATCCTAGAGCTGGCCAGAGCACTGATTGGCCAAGATCCTAGAGCTGGCCAGAGCTCTGATTGGCCAAGATCCTACAGCTGGCCAGAGCACTGATTGGCCAAGATCCTAGAGCTGGCCAGAGCTCTGATTGGCCAAGATCCTAGAGCTGGCCAGAGCTCTGATTGTCCAAGATCCTAGAGCTGGCCAGTGCTCTGATTGGCCAAGGTTCTACAGCTGGCCAGAGCTCTGATTGGTCAAGCCTCTGCCCTAGCTTCCTGGGAGCAGAGTTGAGATGTCTCCTTTCATTTGGCCTCTGGAATGTTCTAAATAGCAAATGTGGGTACCTTTTTTTTTGGATGGCTGGGCCTGGTGGCTCATGCCTGTAATGCCAGCTATTCAGGGGGCTAAGATCGAAGAATTGCTTGAGGCCAGGAGTTTGAGACCCCTTATCTAAATACATAAAAATAGGCAGTTGTGGTGTGTGCCCGTAGTCCCAGATACTCAGGAGGCTGAGGCAGTAGGATCGCTTGATCCCAGGAGTTTGAGGCTGCAGTAAGATGTGATCGCACCACTGCACTCCAGCCTGGGCAACAGGGTGACCCTGACTCTAAACTTTTTTTAAAAAAGAAAGAAAACAATGATTAATCTTTGCTCTGACCTCAGGCTTCCCACTTTTTGAAGAGCTGGGTGGGCTAATGGGCTGGCCTGAGCTTTTGTCTTTGTTTGTCACCACCCACCCATCAGACCACAAAAGTTGTTGCTGAAACTCCTCAAGTTCCCACATGCCCAATGATGACAAATAGGTTTAGTGCTCTGCTTACCTTTTCAGGTTTCTGGCTTGATTTAGATTCATAATTCTTAATATTTCTTACTTTCTTGCCAGAGTATCAATGCATTTTTGAAAGATTTAAAAACATGGTATTCCATGTCTACCTTTACTTTCAATCTGCCTATGTAGGTCATCATACATGCAGAAATAGGAGTTAGGACTGGTTCTTTGTAATTATCTTACCAAAAGAATAAGGTATGCACCTTGAGCTAGCGAACAACATGATGCCTGGGAAAACGGGGAGAAAATACATTCAAAAAACATGCCTGGATGATGCATCAGCGGGGCCAAAGTACTATGCTCAGCAGACAGAGCCAAATATACACATTATGGACAAATTTATTTGGATTATTTATTGTGAACCTGGTATTCCTTCAATTTAATAGTAGAATAATATCTTAAGCACACGCAGACTGGTAAAATAAAAGAACCAGATGGTCAAAATCTGAATTTAACAACTGTATCAAGCGACTGAGTCTACTGCCGTTTATAATGTCAGCTTCTGGCTGAATTCTGAGCATGTCTTGGTCTCTGCGGCTCAAGACATCTCACACAGGTGCATCTGTGTGGTAAGAGCCATGATGAAGGCAAGATGGAAGCTCTGAAGTTCAATTTCCTTCATGACAACTAAAAGATCAACGGGTAGACATGGCTTCTCTTCCTCGAAATGGTAGGATTAAATGTTGTCACTTCTCATGAACTTAACAAAAAGCTAGTCAGCAGAGTGTATTGATGAAGAAACACGTAGTTCAGCATGCAGTCAGACCGTTATGAGCCTGCCTTGTGGTTTTGGCACTGCGGTTTCTTTCATTGGATGTGTCAGTGTGGGCATGCTCCCTTATGCAAGCCTGAGCCAGCCATGCAAACTCCCAGCCTCTTTCTCTCATAATGTATTTTGGAACCCTGTTGTAAGACTATTAAAATATTTATAAAACTTTCAGGTATTGCGTATAATGCATTGATGCTAATTGATGCAATAAATGGATACTAATGCAGGATAGACTTTTCAAAATACTGCGATTTTTAAAAATATATGATCAGCTGGAATGGTATGTGAAATACAATATTAAATTGCAGTGTTGAAACTGCGAAAGGTCAAACAAATACCTTTTCCTCTGTAATATGTGCAATAATGTTTCATTTAACCAGCAATATTGGAGACCTAGGTATTTCATAAACATGACTTTTACAAGTAATTGAAGGTTACCTTTAGAGAACTTCAACATTTTAAAATTTTAACTTGCCAGGATGGAAAGCATTAAAGAGTTCATTGCCCACTTCCTGAATTTAGAAATAAGAACACGGAAAAATAGAGATTAATCAAACCCATGTTTCCACCACAGAGATTTTCCTTCTTTATAAATTGAGGATATTGAATACAATGTAATATTTTTAAAATAACTGTATGTTATTATTGTAAACATTATTATTACACCATGCTGTGTGATAAAATATACTCAGGGAGTTTTGTGGCATATGGGGATGGTTCAAAATTTTATTTACCTGGTTATAGAAAATATGGAAAGCATAGAAAAGAAAATAAAAATGACTATAAACACACTAGCCAGAGGTAATCATGGTTAACATTTTAGTGTTATTACTATTTCTGAATACGGTTACTATGTTACTCTATATACACTTTTTAATTCTTCTCTACCCAATTAATAAATTGGGAATGTTTTCTCATAGCCTTAAACATCCTTAATGACTTGCTTTCTAATGATTATGTGATTTTGCCTCCTATGGCAGTGGCATCATTATTTTGTTAACCAGTATCCCGTTGATGAACATTTAGATTTATCCAGTTTAGCCATTGTAAGTAATGCTATAGTGACCACTTTGGTAAGTAAATCCTAGTGGACATCTTTTATTTATTTAGAAAGGGGTTAGGAAGTACTTACATCTTTTATTTATTTAGGAAGCGGTTAGGAAACGCTTACAGTGGGGTTTAGGAAGCACTTACAGTGGGGTTAGGAAGCACTTACAGTGGGGTTAGGAAGCACTTACAGCGTGTTGTGCACTCTTCTATGTGCTTGGGATTCCATCTTTGTTCTTGCAGTATTTATATTCCAGTAGGTGAGACTTACAGTAAACATAGAGAAGCCCGTTAGATAGTATATTAGAACGTGGTAAATGACATGAACTGTGTTCTCTTAAGATAAATTCCTAGAAGAGTCCTGAAACATTCTTCTAAAATGCTTTTCAGAATGGTTGTACTGATTCAGTTTTCTGTCAAACATGTTTGCATATCTCTTTTCCTATCTTTGAAAACAGGTGTTGCTAAAAAAAAAACTGCCATTTGGTTAAAGACAATTTATTTTATTGCTTATACTTGCATTTTTTTATTCTAGTGATTTCTGAACACATTTTAGTATGTTCATTGATTATTTGTATATCTTCCTTTGAAAAATACCTGTTTATGTCTTTCGGATAATGTCAATAATTTGAGGAAAATTGCCTTTGGAGAAAGGAAATGCCGTTCATTTTTTTGTGCCCATTTAGTCACCCAGTGTAGTAGATCTATCTCATTTATCGCTCCTGGAAGCTCTTCTTTCTTTTCCTTCTGTTCCTGCCTTAATTTAGGAGGCCTTAATCTCTTCTCACCTGGATTTCAGCTAAAAGCTCCAACTGATCTTCTTGGCTGCAGCCTTATTGGCTTCATTCCATCAAAGACACAGCCTCGTAATCACCTTCCTAAAATATAAATCGAGACACATCATTCTCTTCGTTAAAATACTTCAGTCACTTTTTTTTCTTTCTAAGTGAAGCTGAAGCCCTAGTGAAGTTTGCAAATCTTCCCATGACCTGGCTCCTGCATACACAGCAAACCTCGCCTTTCTGGCACATAGCAAACCCTCAATAGGTTTTACGTAATGGATGACATTGATCACTGCTAAAGGAGGCCCGGATGGCCATGGCTTTCCTCACGCCGTGGAGATTTAGGCTGGATCCTACACTAGCTGCTTCCAGATGACATGTATTGAGCAGTGATTCACAAACTTTTCATTCTTAGGACCCCTTTACACAGTTCAAATTATTGAGGACACTTAACAGCTTTTATTCACATGGGTCATGTCTATCTATATTTACTTTATTGAATACCAAAATGGGAAATGTAAAAAAATATTTATCAACTCATTTAAAATAATATTAAGACCAACACATTTTAATGTAAATAACATTTTATGAAAAATAATTATATTTTCCAAACCCCTCAAAAATTGGTGAGAAAAGGGAAATTGTTTCACATTTTTGCAAATCGTTTAAATGTTTGACTAACAAATGACAGTTACAGATGTGTGAATGAGCCCAGTCCAGATCAGCTGAGTCTGGCCCAGAAGATCAGGCCTGCCCCAATGAAGCCAGCTCAAATTGCACAAATGAGCCCAGTCCAGATCAGCTGAGTCCGGCCCAGAAGATCAGGCCTGCCCCAGTGAAGACAGCTCAAACTGCGAGCCCGGAAATTGTAAGTGAAATAAAGGTTGTTGTATAAGCCATTATGGTCGTCGGGGTTCTCCGGAGAAAGAAGTAAGATACGATACATGAGAGGGAGAGATGTATTATAATGAATTGGCCCACACGATTGTGGGGACTGGCAGGCTGCAGGCTGGAGAGCCAGAGAAGAGATGAAGAAAAGAGAAGAGATGATGCTGAATCTGGAGCCCAGAGACCACCTGGAGGCAGGATTCCCTTTCCCTCCGGGACCTCTGTCTTTCTTTCTCTTAAGGCCTTCAACCATTTAGGTGAAGTCCACTCACATTATGGGGGTAACCCTCTTCACTAAATATCCACTGATTTCAATGTTAATCTCATCTAACAAATACCTTCACAGCAATATTTACACTGAGTGTTTGACCTAATATCTGGGTTCATGGCCTAGCCAAGTTGGCACAAAATCGCCCCTTGCAACGACCAAGTTTAAGATGGTGTGTTATGGGACAAAAGCCATCTGGCATACTTTGTAACCATCATCTCCGCTGGTCTTTCAACCCTGCAGACTCAGCTGTCTTAAGAATTTTTCGGCAAAATTTTGTAATTCCAAAATGTAGTAATTCCAAAAGGTAAAATTATTTTTCTCTGTGAAATTTTAAGCTTTTAAAATATAGTAATGTAGCAAATGGTTTAAAAATATTAACAATAGTTTTCTATAAACAGAATTCCTCTTTGTGACTACAGTTGGGTGGTACATATGTTCAGGACTGAATCCAGGCAAATAGGTGTCTTTCCTGGAAGATGGTTTTGGTTGTTGGGTAGAAAGTTTTCAGGTGTTTTTCTATCAATCATCTAGGAAATGTTAATTGACTTTCTTACCTGTTACATACTGGGCTGTGTGCTAGACACCGAGGTCTCAGCATTGATCTCTGTTCTGCAGGTATAAAACAAAACTAGATGATTCTTTTCCCTTAGGAGTGAATTTTTTTCCTTAAAGCAGTTTGCTCTTTTTCATATTCTGTCTCTATTCTGTGTATTTAAGTACTTTCACCAGAATAATATGCATTGGCTGCTCCCATGGAAGAAATTACCTGCTCCTTTCCACTCCCAGCTCCAAGAGCAGTGTGGAAATGAACGGAGCCAGCACAGTGCTCTGTGCCAGTTCTTTGTTGCTTTATTTTGTTCACAGATCTCTTGAGGCCAGGATTACCCATAGTGCGTTGTTTGTGTGTCTGCATTTTCGCGGCATAAAAGAGTTTTAAAGGCTCCAAATGGATATTTCCTATGATCTTGAATAAAAGAATCACTAGATGAAAGTGCTACTCACTTGAGATCTGCAAAACTTTCTAAACACAGCTAAACGTTGGCTTCTGAGTCTTGTTCAGTTCTGAAATAAGGCTGTCTGCCTTCCTCCTTATAAATTTCTCATGTGACTGCAAACATTCTAAATGCATCCTACTATTGTGGAGGATAAAATAGATGTTAGAAAGTTGATATAATCCTAGTAGGTACCATTTAAAGGAGCCTTAGTATGTTATGACACTAGCTAACCAACTTGTAAACATTCTCTAATTTAAGCCTTATGACAATCATGCAAGTTAGGGACTAGATTAAGAAAACTGAGGCAAAATGATATATTTAATAAAGTGCTTTGCCTAAGTATACTCAGCTAGTAAGTGGCAGGCTGAGCATGAAAACCTGAGTGTGTTTGACACCAGGCCTGTGGTCTAGATCACTCCACTATGTAGCCCTGACCACATCACCATTTGTGGGGTGAGAATGCAGTCCTAGCTCAGTGGGTAAGAGGATCCAGGTGAGATTACCTCTGATCAATCCTTTGCTTCTTTACTTATTCACTGTTATTCAATGGCTCGGTATCTCAGTTTATTCCTCTTTAAGATTAGAATAATAATGTAGCCTTCTTCCTAGGGTTGTTACAGGAATTAAGTTAATACGGGTATGGTGCTTGGAATACCACTGGCATATACTAAGTTCTCCTTAAATATTAGCTCTTCTTATAAAATTGAATGCAACTTTTCCATCAGGATGTCAAGTTTTTGGTTTTCTATGCAGCTAAGTCAATAATCTTAAATTTAGTTGCTAATGACTTTTAGATTAAGGTTGTGTCTATGTGATTCCAAAGGACAAATAAAGTCAATTTGGAAACAACTCAAGCCAATCGCCAATTCAATGAAAATGTTAGTTAGGCTCTTGTTTGGTGTCTCGAGGATAAATGTAGTAATTCTTTTTGTAAAAAACTTTTTAAAAGTCTTTCAGTTGGTTGCATGATTATGTTGAAGTAAGTCTTCAATTTATTAAGAAGCAAAACTGTTGGGACGTTAAGGCGTCTTCAGCGTGGCTTCACACTCCAAACTTCCACGCTCTCAAAGGGTCTGTAGAAGGTCTTGGAGGAATGTGTGGAGAGAGCAGAATAGTGGGAGTCAGGCCCAGCTTTCCCCAGGAATGTTCTAGGTTATTACATGAGCATCTCAGGCAGATCATCACTTGTTCTGTAATTCAGCTTTTCCTACTGTAATTAGTGAATTAAACTTTCTTACTTGGCTGCTGTCTGAGGGGCCTCAGAGCCCTTGCGACGCTCTGGGCACCTTGTGAGTGCTTCGAATGTACAACATAGAAACACAGGGCCAGCTGAGCCTACCATCTTTATCACAATGTACCACATAATTATAAATGTCCCATTTATAATTTTGTTTTTAAATGCATGTTCTTTCAAAAGGTTGTTACAATTTTAACAACAAATTTTGTTAATATTTTAGAAAACTGGGAAAATACAGAAAAGCATAAAGAATAAGACAGAAATCATGCAGAGTCTCATCATCATATAGCAGCACATTTATGTCTAGAAAATGGTTGCTTTAAAGTGTTTGCATGGACTAGGGATGTATGAAATTGTAGGACAAAATGAAAATCTGATTATTCATGTCAGCCCTAAGAATGGTGTTAGTACTTGATACAACTTACATTATTTTAGCTTTAAAAAAGAATGTTCATCTGAACTGCAATAAAGCTAGAATTATATTACCTTGAAAGGATGTCTCTGGGAGTTGTAAGTCAAAACAAGGCTGTATTACAAAAAATTAAATAATAATAATAATGTGGAGATAAATCGACGTATGTATCGAGAGTTATGTCTGTGCTACTTCGGGGCAGAGAGTTTCCTGTTTGGGTTGAGATTTGCAGAGCTGGTGATTTTCCAGGACTACATGAGGCTCCCAGGCAGGTCACCGAGGCTCAGTGCCCCTAGAGCACCGTCTCACAGCTCTTGAGGCAATGCCTGGTTGACTGTGTGCTGTCACTCGACCTTTTCTATGAAAGATGAGACGCTCTTCCCACTAATGGATGCAAATGTAAGAACTGGCTGCCTGAAACAGCAGTGAGGTAAGAATTACTATCTGAGGCCACATCAGCCCTGGCATCTGACTTATGTTCAATGAGCTCCTCTCTTGGGCTACACAAATAAGCATCATTGTTTTTAAGGCCAAATTCCTGAAACAGAATTCACATCTTGTCCTTTTCCCGCAGGCTGCAACTCTCCTGTTACTCTGGGGGAAAGCTTAACAACTAAGATTCAGAGCAAAGGAAGACGATGCCGGCAGCAGGCTTTGGGTGCTTGTGGGGCAGCAGGTTGTACCAGGGGCAGGTGCAGACCCCTGCCTCCCTTGCCTTCACCACAGTCACAACAGGCCAGGCCAGCCCATCCATCATGTCTCTAGGATATCTCAGGGGTTCAAGGCCACCACACCATTTGCAGCACACTCCACTCGCTGATCTGTGATATGGGAGATGTGCTTATTGGCGAATAAATCACCATGTCAAGTTAACGGCCTGTGTCCAAGGCGAGTGACTTCGAGGTCAGCATAGCAGCATACCATTGGATGCAGCGGGTTCTGCTTCTGCGCACAGTGCCTCATCAGAACATAAATTTTCAAATACCAGATGTGATAAAAGACAACATCGAGCTTTCTGTTTTTTGAAGGAGAGGAGAAGGAGATCCTGGATACATTCTCTGAAAGGTGCCTCCACTTCATCACTGATCCCGACACGTGGGAGGAAGGAGAGGAGGACAGTGAAGACCATCAGCAAGGGAGAGCAGGTTCCCTGCCCTGGATCCCTGCCCTGGTCCCCTGCCCTGATTCCCTGCCCCATGTTGTAGGTCTTTGGGCTACATTTCTACCCATTGGCTGAACATAAAAACTGTCCTATGAACTATTTGGCAGCAAGTTCACAGCAAAGAATATTAACTCTGTGAGGCACCTTAGACAATGCCTGGCTTAACCCCCACTTGACAAATAAAGACACATGTTCTGACTCACCCACCATCCCAGGAGCAACTGACCAGGCTGAGGAACTCTGTCCACTGCCTGCAGCCCACTTGGCCTTCCACTGTGACGTCCAGGCTGAGGAACTGTGTCTGCCACCTGCAGCCCACTTGGCCTTCCACTGTGATGTCCTTTCCAGGACTCTGAGCAGAGATGGGTTTATAACAAGCATAAATTGTTATTTTGTATCGATCTGCACATCAATTTATATATTTTGAAAATTAAAAGAAATCCAATGATAAGAATTTTTCTCACAAGTTAATTAAGGAAACTAGGTCAATGGAAATTTCTTAGGTTATGAAAATATTGATGTGAATATGTTATGTGAGAATCATTTCAAAATGAGTTAAAGGGGCTGGGCACAGTGGTTCACACCTGTAATCCCAGCACTTTGGGAGGCCAAGGTGGGTGGATCATGAGGTCAAGACATTGAGACCATCCTGGCCAACATGGTGAAACCCTGTCTCTACTAAAAATACAAAAATTAGCCAGGCATGGTGGCACATGCCTGTAGTCCCAGCTACTCAGGAGGCTGAGGCGGGAGAATAGCTTGAACCTGGGAGGTGGAGGTTGCTGTCACGCGACTGCACTCCAGCCTGGTGAGAGAGCAAGAGAGCAAGACTCCGTCTCAAAAAAAAAAAAAAAAAAAAAAACAAACCAGGAGTTACAGGAATCTAGGATATTTTGCTTTCTGTCCCTAAACTTTGGGGCTTAATTTGGCAGAAACTTGGGAGTGGGAGGGTGAAGTTTGTGGCGTCCTGCTTGCCTTGAATTTGTGGTGGCCACAGAATGCAGGCTTGACTTCATGCAGGTTCTCATACATCATTATGGAGAACATCTTTTTGTATTTACTTCAATATTTATTTTGTAGTGAAAATAAAAGCAATACCAGTTTTCTGAAGGGTTTCTTAAATCAATTCCTTTGTGTCCTATAGGGCAATACTTTGCTCCTAGAGAAGTCTGTGAACCATTGGTGTCTTTGATTTGTCTCATTAGAACGCCCACCCTCATACCATATGCTATCCCTCATGTATGCTGGAAGATAATAGTCTGCAGAGTAGCCTTTATGGTGAAGCCAGCTTCCGGTGCTCTGCTACTCTGCAAAAATCACATCTGGATAGAGAAGAAACCGGTGGCAAGATGTCTCTCTCTCAGTCCATGCAATGAACTGACTCCTACTGGTGGGGGTGAGGGGGATGGTGTCAGCAATGGTGAGATATATGTTTCAAATGTCAGCAACAAAAGAAGAGAGAGAAAGAGAGGAAACAAAAACAGCTGCTAACCCCTTGAGTTTGCTTTCTGGGACAAGTTAACAGCCACATTAGTTTCATGGTCTCTATCTGCATACTGAGGGTGGCTGCCATCCCTGCTGTCCACCCAGATTTGCACATCTGTGGTTCCATTGAGTTATGTGGTTTTGCCATTCACAGCAAACATGGAAAAGATCCCCACCAACCTGGTGAAATGGTTCTGGTTTTAGATTCATAAGCTATATAGACAATAATTTCTGAAAAGGATGTGTATTTAATGTGTTGACTGAGGAACTGAAAGGCAGGGTTGTTTACAAAAGACTCAAGTGCAGAATTTTGGAAGGTGCTGAGTGTTAGCTCAGCCGTGTCCTGGTAGGTGTTTTTCATTCATTCCTCTGAAACACATGGTGTTTTCATTTCTAATTTGTGGAAGAATTTAGTGCAAAACTTGGAGCACAATTATTAGGGCCAATGACAACCCACATATGTGGAATTTTGAGGACTTTTGCAGATTTTATGGATTTGGTGCAGTTCCACAGCAAACTATAAAATTATTATTGCAGACTAGAAGATTGTAAAAGTTAAAACACAAACTATCTGAATTACAGCGCCCAGCAAAACGTGCAAGAAACAGTTAAGTCATCACGCACATCCCTATAATTTGGTATTCTAATGCTTCGTTTGGCTAAATATTTTTATCAGCTTTTTGTCTTAATAATTTCTGGAAATAGGATGATAATTTTGTTTTCACAGTTGGTGATTGTATATGGACAGAAGGTATGAAAGAGGATGAGATTTCTAACTTTCAGATAAAAAGTTTGGCATATTCTATTAGTTCCACCACATTAATTTTATTACTTATTTTTTTCAGTTCTTATTTTGTTTCATTTTTGAATATGGTATCTGCTGTATGTTGATAATGGTGAGTTAAAAATTTATCAGCTGCAGCCATACGTCTGTCTGTTTTTTGTTTTATATATATATACTTTTGGGCTTTTTTATTTGGTATATTAAAGTTTATTCATGTCATATCTTTATTATTAGCTTACCAATTTAAAATAATACGATGCTCTTTTAACTCAATAAGAGACTTTAAATACTACATAGCCTGAAATGATATTACCAAATCTGCTTTTCTTTTGTATGTATTTAATTAGTTACAATGTACCCAATCCTTAATTTATGACCCTCTAATCCAGCTTTCGGTTGTTTCTAGGCAGCAACATCTTGTAACATTGTGTTGTTGGATTTTGTTTTGATTCAACTTAAGATACGGTAAACATAGATAGTGGAATTTAAGCCCTTAACACCCAATACCAATTTATTCTGAACTGTTTAAACTCACGATCCTCTATTTCTTTTCCTTGCTTATGGCTTTGTAGAGGCCGGTGTGCAGCACTAAGAGGGTAAGGAACGCAGTGGGAAATCTCTGAGCCCCATTAAGGGTTGTCGCAAATAGAAAGAGGCCAGGTCCTCTTGCTTGCTTTGTTGGTGGGGTTCCCTCGCACACTCATGCCTTCTTGAATGCTCACATTCATGCACTTTCACACTCACTTCCCCACGTTCACGCCTCACACAGTCGTGTATATAACATTTTCTGGTTTTACAGTGTTTAAAACTTAGCCTTTACGGGTGACTGATGCTTTTCTGGGTAAAATGCTGAGCACTATGAAGGGACTGCATGAGATCAAAAGATCTCCCACCCTGGGAGAAGTTCTGGCTGATTTGGGAGCTGATCCCTGGAGAATTTCTGGCTGATTTGGGAACTGATCCCTGGAGAAGGTCTGGTTGATTTGGGAGCTGATCCTTGGAGAAGTTCTGAATGATTTGGGAGCTGAACCTTGGAGAAGTTCTGGCTGATTTGGGGGCTGATCCTTGGAGAAGTTCTGGCTGACTTGGGAGCTGATCCTTGGAGAAGTTCTGGCTGATTTGCGAGCTGATCCTTGGAGAAGTTCTGGTTGATTTGGGAGCTGATCCTTGGAGAAGTTCTGGTTGATTTGGGAGCTGAAACTTGGAGAAGTTCTGGTTGATTTGGGGGCTGATCATTGGAGAAGTTCTGGGTGATTTGGGGGCTGAACCTTGGGGAAGTTCTGGCTGATTTGGGAGCTGAACCTTGGAGAAGTTCTGGTTGACTTGGGGGCTGATCCTTGGAGAAGTTCCGGGTGATTTGGGGGCTGATCCTTGGAGAAGTTCTGACTGATTTGGGAGCTGAAACTTGGAGAAGTTCTGGTTGATTTGGGGGCTGATCCTTGGAGAAGTTCCGGGTGACTTGGGGGCTGAACCTTGGAGAAGTTCTGACTGATGTGGGAGCTGAACCTTGGAGAAGTTCTGGTTGATTTGGGAGCTGAACCTTGGAGAAGTTCTGGTTGATTTGGGGGCTGATCATTGGAGAAGTTCTGGGTGAATTGGGGGCTGAACCTTGGGGAAGTTCTGGCTGATTTGGGAGCTGAACCTTGGAGAAGTTCTGGTTGATTTGGGGGCTGATCCTTGGAGAAGTTCCAGGTGATTTGGGGGCTGATCCTTGGAGAAGTTCTGACTGATTTGGGAGCTGAAACTTGGAGAAGTTCTGGTTGATTTGGGAGCTGATCCTTGGAGAAGTTCTGGTTGATTTGGGGGCTGATCCTTGGAGAAGTTCTGACTGATTTGGGAGCTGAAACTTGGAGAAGTTCTGGTTGATTTGGGGGCTGATCCTTGGAGAAGTTCTGACTGATTTGGGAGCTGAAACTTGGAGAAGTTCCGGGTGACTTGGGGGCTGAACCTTGGAGAAGTTCTGACTGATGTGGGAGCTGAACCTTGGAGAAGTTCTGGTTGATTTGGGGGCTCATCCTTGGAGAAGTTCTGACTGATTTGGGAGCTGATCCTTGGAGAAGTTCTGACTGATTTGGGAGCTGAATCTTGGAGAAGTTCTGGTTGATTTGGGAGCTGATTCTCGGAGAAGTTCTGACTGATTTGGGAGCTGAATCTTGGAGAAGTTCTGGTTGATTTGGGAGCTAATCCTTGGAGAAGTTCTGGTTGATTTGGGAGCTGATCCCTGGAGAAGTGCTGGCTGATTTGGGGGCTGATCCCTGGAGAAGTTCTGGTTGATTTGGGGGCTGATCCTTGGAGAAGTTCTGATTAATTTGGGAGCCGATGCATGGAGAAGTTCTGGTTGATTTGGGAGCTGATCCTTGGAGAAGTTCTGGTTGATTTGGGAGCTGATCCTTGGAGAAGTTCTGGCTGATTTGGGAGCTGATCCCTGGAGAAGTTCTGACTGATTTGGTAGCTGATCCTTGGAGAAGTTCTGGCTGATTTGGGGGCTGATCCCTGAAGAAGTTGTGGTTGATTTGGAAGCTGATCCTTGGAGAAGTTCTGACTAATTTGGGAGCTGATCCTTGGAGAAGTTCTGGGTGATTTGGGGGCTGATCCCTGGAGAAGTTCTGGCTGATTTGGGGGCTGATCCTTGGAGAAGTTCTGGTTGATTTGGAAGCTGAACCTTGGAGAAGTTCTGGTTGATTTGGGAGCTGATCCTTGGAGAAGTTCTGGTTGATTTGGAAGCTGATCCTTGGAGAAGTTCTGACTGATTTGGGGGCTGATCCCTGGAGAAGTTCTGGCTGATTTGGGGGCTGATCCTTGGAGAAGTTCTGGTTGATTTGGGAGCTGAACCTTGGAGAAGTTCTGGTTGATTTGGTGGCTGATCCTTGGAGAAGTTTTGGTTGATTCGGGAGCTGATCCTTGGAGAAATTTTGGTTGATTTGGGGCTGATCCTTGGAGAAGTTTTGGTTGATTTGGGGGCTGATCCCTGGAGAAGTTCTGGCTAATTTGGGAGCTGATCCTTGGAAAATTTCTGGTTGATTTGGGAGCTGATCCCTGGAGAAGTTCTGGTTGATTTGGGAGCTGAACCTTGGAGAAGTTCTGGTTGATTTGGGAGCTGATCCTTAGAGAAGTTCTGGTTGATTTGGGAGCTGAACCTTGGAGAAGTTTTGGTTGATTTGGGAGCTGATCCTTGGAGAAATTCTGACTGATCCTTGGTGAGCATCATGCACTCCCGTGTTTTATCCTCTGCGCATTAGAGAGGTCAGGCCATGAATGGTCTTAGATCAAGATGAGCACTGAACTTGGTTATTTTCTTCCTGACTTTCATAACCAGCAATCAGTGCATTATCGTTATCTTCTACTCCATGGATTTAAACCTCTTGTTTCTGTATAACAAACCAAACTGTGTACTTTTCACACTACATGTGATTTAAAAATAATGTTCCTAAGTTTTCAGGGGGTGTCTGTTCATCCTCCTGCTGTTCGTAATTATGCCAACAGTAGTAGCTACCACTGATTGCATTTCTTTACTGTTCTGACCGTCACTATGTACCCACAGCACGTTACCACAGCCCCTGCCTAAGGCAAGGGTGTTATTTCTAGTTGACAGATGCGGAACCCGAGGCTCCTGTAGCGAATGAACATCAGAGCACATATTTAACCCAGCTTTTGGCTCCAGAAGTCCTCGTTCTTCGTTGTTCAAGGAAGATGCCATCTGGGACACTGTCTTTCATGCACCAGGTTGGAGAATGGCATGAGTTAGGGAATCAGCCTTTTTAGGAAGGCAGAAGCTTACAGAACCCGGGAGGAGAAAAGCCCAGTGTCCCTCATCCTCTCATCTTTGCCATAGAGAAAACACGAGGACCAAGATATTTTTCTGACCAGTAGCATGGACTTGCATTCCACTGGGGCCACTCTGACTTTTACAAAGGGCAAGCCTGAAAGCAAACTTGTCGATGTTGAATGAGATTTCCTCAGTACCAAGCAGTCTGCATGTGGTGTAGCTGTTTATGAGAATTGCCTGGGAACACTAACTGCCCAGAACCTGGGTATCGTGGGACCTGTGGGGAAAAGGGGCTATGAGGATATCAGTGCTACAGGTCGCTTAGTGTCACATGGTCCCTATTTCCAGGGACCCAGTGTTGAGGATTCTCAGTGAGCATGTGTTTCAGGCAAGTCAGAGTGAGCGTCTGGAGCCACTTTGCGACAATCCGCTTATTGCTCCTTCTACAATCCAGCACTGTTTTCATGTTGTTTGGTAAATTTTGTTTTTTAATATCTCAGCAGGAGAATGTGTGTTTTGTGGAAGAAATGACCAACTAGTAGAATGCCTTCCATTTGTAATAAAATCCTTGCTGGGTTTGAGTTAATAGGCCTCCAAGGAAGAGCAAGTTAAAATAGAAATGGACAGGGTGCTAAATAAAATACTGTCCAGCATAATCTACTGCCCTCAAGGGAAAGAGCCAAATGACTCAATACGGGTTTTCCATCTTCAATTTCAATAGCCCGATGTCAGGATCAAGCAGCAGAACACACTGACTACCTCAGTATGCTCCCTGCATTCAAAGTTTCTTTTCCCATGGCCTCTTCTGCTCCTGTGATGCCATCCCCAAAACGCTTAAAGTGCACAGACATGAAAGTCCTTTTACTAGCATTGCAGATCGAGGGGTAGGTAGTGACGTTCTAAAGGAATGAAACAGAATGTGGACCACAGAGAGATCGGCAATTAACACTGCCACCTGTTTTAGTCATTTGTTTGTTTTAATTGGGATATTTATATATGGTTATAATCTGTCATTTGTATTAATGTAGCTATCTGTGGGGATGGGGAAAAGAAAGAATAGAATTAGTTATTCATTCATTTATTTATTTATGTATTTATTTATTAATGATTTTGAGACAGGCCTGGCTCTGTTGCCCAGGCTGGAGTGCAGTGGTGCGATCTCGGCTCACTGCAACTTCCACCTCCTAGGCTCAAGCCATCTTCCCACCTCAGCTTCTTGTGCAGCTGGGACTACAGGTGCACGCCACCACACCAAGCTAATTTTTGTATCTTTTATAGAGATGGGTTCTCACTATGTTGCATAGGCCGATCTCGAACTCCTGAGCTTAAGGGATCCACCCGCATTGGCCGAGTACTAGGATTACAGGCATGAGCCACTGCACCCAGCCTTGAAGTTTTTTAGTTCAATGATCTTGACGTTTTCAAGATTTGCTATGTAATGACGGCTCCATACCCCTTTCCTATCCATGGGAGTTCAGTTTCAAATGCACTGAGCATTCAAAGTAAGTCATCCTGGAAACAGCATGTCTGGTGATTTCCTAGTTGGGAAAATCTTCTGTTTAGCTGAGAGGGAAATTGCTATGGTTCGAGAAGAGACATTCTAAGGTGAAACTTAGGGGAGAAATATATTATCTTTACAGGAATCCTGGATACAAAACCAAACTGCTCTGGGCTCTACATGAAGAACTAATTTTATTGTGGGTTTTTTTTTTTTTTTTTTTTTTTTCAGAAAGTCTGAGGCTGATATGAATGGAATAGAGAAAGAGGGAAGGATGGTAGGAAAACACACCCTGTTTTCCAGCCAGTGGCCATAGCCAGCCTCATCCCCAAGAAGCCTAAACATTTTATACTTGTGTGAGTCTTCATATGAGCACATTCACTTCACTAGGGCTCCAGCGTCCTGGAGAGATGAATGGTTTCCATTCACAGATGACAACCCTGGTGGCCCATACTCAGTGACAGGAATGGTCCACAGCTGACAAACCTGGTGGCCCATACTCAGTGACAGGGATGGTCCACAGCTGACAAAACCTGGTGGCCCATACTCAGTGACAGGGATGGTCCACAGCTGACAACACTAGTGGCCTATACTCAGTGATGGGGATGGTCCACAGCTGACAGCCCTGGTGGTACATACTCAGTGACAGGGATGGAAGTCCTTCTCCATTTGCCCTTTATTAGAGAGATATATCAGGCTCACTGTGTGGAAGGAAACATTTTCCAACATACTCCACATGCACTCTGTGACGCTCATTGTCCTCTGACATGTAATTAAACAATGACACTTTTCTCCTAGCTTTCCTAAATGGCTAATGACAGAGGGGTGGTACCAGCTGCCCCAGGGTAAACTACTGAGCAAATCTAAAGGTGTGTCTTCTAGTTCCATCTTCTGTTAGAAAAACCAAATGCTCACAAAGTGCAATAACAGTTTAAACCACGACTGCTCTCTCACAATGTTTTTCATCAATCATTATAATAATATTGTTTTTAAAATAAACTTTGTTTTAGGAGATTTGCATATCTACAGAAATATTGTGAACTTAGAGTACACAGAGTTCACGTCCACCCTCGGCTGTGTTTATCATTAACGTCTTACAATATTATATATATTATATTAGTGCATTTATTATTATTCATGTACCAATATTGATATATTTTTATTACTTAAAGCCTATATTTTACTTACATTTATGTGGTTTTCACTGAGTGTCCTTTTCTGTTCTGGGATCTCATTCAAGATCCCAAGAAACATTTAGCTGTCAAGTCTCCTGAGGTTCCTCTGGCTGAGGCAGTTGCTGGGACATTTTCTGCTTTGTATGACCTTGCAGGTTTGGAAGAGCACTGATCAGGGGTACAGTAGGATGCCCCGTACTGAAATCTTTATGTTGTTATTCTCATGATTAGACTGGGGTCATGGCTTTTGGGGAGGAGAACCACAGAGGTAAGGTGCCATCATCATCACATCGTCTGAAGGGTACATACTGTCAACATGACTAATCACTATTTATGGTGACCTTGTTCACCTTGGCCAAGGTGGTGTTTGTTAGGTTTTCTCTTTCCATAGTGCACTCTTTAGAAGGAGGCCACTTTGTGCAGCCCACACTTAATGAGTGAGAAGTTTTGCTCCACCTCCTGAGGGTGGAGTATCCAGACAAATTATTTAGAATTCTTATGCATAATTTGTCTCATATCCCCCATTTAAATATTTATTCAATTATCTATTAGTAACAGTATGGACTCATGGATATTTATTTGGTACTTTGAGTTAAAATTATATATTATTCTATTTATTTTATTGCTCAAATTGTTCCAGTTCAAAAATTACAATAGTTATGTAGTGGTACTTTGTTGTCATTTTAAGTTGCAATTCTCTGTTGACAAACAATATTGAGCATTTTTTCATATCCTTATTTGGCATCTGTTTACCTTCTTTGGTGAGGGGTCTGTTCAGGTTTTTTTACATTATTTAACTGGGTTGCTTGTTTTCTTATTGTTGAATTTTAAGAGTTCTTTGTACATTTTAGATACACATTTTTTATCAGATATGCATTTTGAAAATATTTTCTACAAGTCTGTGGCTTGTCTATGATACTTTTAAAAATCTATTTTTACACTCTAATGAGACATATGAGAGGAGAGAAGTTAGTTAATTATAGGAGCCCAATCATGTCTCTACATGGGGGTGTGAAGCCTCCTCCCTGGAGGAATCTACTTTTCCTTGGTCTTCCAAATACATTGTTATTTCCAAAACCATATATGAGGAGTATAAAAAAATATGAGAATATATCAATACTCAAATAAAGAGAAAGTGTACTTAAAAAAAGAATTCTCACAATGACCAGTGAGGTAGATAAAACAGACATATATAAGCGTTCACGTTTATCAGATGCAGAAACTGAAGCCCAGGTAAGCCATATGACCTAGCTAGAGTCACTCAGTCAGCAAGAGATGGAGCCATGACTACACTCCTAGATTCTATCTCCTGGCCCCAAATTCACTTACCTACATCACACTAGAACCATATCATGTTAGCCAACAGACCATCAGTGTGTTTGTTTAAAGTGCTAACTTACTGATAATTCATGCATTTAACAGTGTATTTTTCAGATGCATTTGACCCTTGCTGTGTCAGATAAGTCACTTATTCAAAATGGAATAAGTTAAGATGTAACATGAGTCTAACTGCGTCTTTGCTTTCTTGGCACTGTATAGCTACAGTGGATCCTAAGTATTCTATCATCTGATTCTTCCAGGCAATTCTTTATTGTACTCAACATTTTAGTGGCAGTAGTCCTTGGAATTTGCTAATCATTTTCCTTAAGCGTTTTGGAGGAAAATATCTGTTACTTAGCCAGCTAGCCAATTAGAAAATTAAAAGTCCCTTTAGACCATAATTTACCAGTCTTGAGACTACTGGCTTTTGGGCTGGATAATTCTTTGGTGTGGTGGGCTCTGATATATTATAAGACGCTTAGCAGCATTTCAGGACTGTCCCTGCTAGATGCCAGTAGTATCCCTCCAGGATGCCACAACCATAAATGTCTCTAGAGATTGACAAGTGTCCCTTGGGGGCTCTATTGGTCCATTTTCACACTGCTGATAAAGATATACCTGAGATTGGGAAGAAAAATAGGTTTAATGGACTCCCAATTCCACGTGGCTTGGGAGGCCTCACAATCATGGCAGAAGGAAACAGGCACTTCTTACATGGCAGCAGCAAGAGAGAATGAGAACTGACTGAAAGGGGTTTCCCCTTATAAAACCATCATATCTTGTAAGACTTACTGTCACAAGAGCAGCACAGGAAATACGTGCCCCCATGATTCAGTTACCCCCCACTGGGTCCCTCCCACAACATGTTGGAATTGTGGGAGCTACAATTCAAGATGAGATTTGTGTGGGAACACAGCCAAACCATATCATTCTATCCCTGGCCCCTCGCAAATCTCATGTCCTCACATTTCAAAACCAATCATGCCTTCCCAGTAGAACCCCAAATTGTTAACCCATTTCAGCATTAATTCAAAAGCTTACAGTCCAATGTCTCATCTGAGACAAGGCAAGTCCCCTCTGCCTATGAGCCCATAAAATCAAAAGCAAGTTAATTACTTTCTAGATACAATGTAGGTACATGTATTGGGTAAATACAGCTGTTACAAATGGGAGAAATTGGCCAAAACCAAGGGGCTACAGGCCCCATGCAAGTCCAAAATGCAGCAGGGCAGTCAAATTTTAAAGCTCCGAAATGATGTCTTTTGATTCCATGTCTCACATCTGGGTCATGCTGATGCAAGAGATGGGTTCCCGTGATCTCAGGCAGCTCTGCCCCTGTGGCTTTGGAGGATACTGCCTCCCTCCCAGCTGCTTTCATGGGCTGGTATTGAGTGTCTGTGGCTTTTCCAGGTGCATTGTGCAAGCTGTCAGTGGATCTACCATTCTGGGGTCTGGAGGATGGTGGCTCTCTTCTTACAGCTTCACTAGGCAGCACACTAGTGGGGAGTCTGTGGGGGTCCCCACCCTACATTTCTCTTCTTCACTGCCCTGGCAGAGGTTCTCCATGAGGGCCCCACTGCTGCAACAAACTTCTGCCTGGACATCCAGATGTTTCCATAATATCTTCTGAAAACTAGGCAGAGGTTCCCAAACCTCAATTCTTGACTCCTTTGCACCTGCAGGCTCAACACCACATGGAAGCTGCCAAGGCTTGGAACTTGCACTTTCTGAAGCCATGGCCCAAGCTGTACCTTGACTCCTTTTAGTCATGGATGGAGCAACTGGAACACAGTCCTTAGACTGCACACAGCAGAGAGACTCTGGTCCCGGCCAATGAAACCATTTTTTCCTCCTAGGCCTCTGGGCCTGTGGTGGGAGGAGCTACCACAAAGGTCTCTGACATGCCCTGGAGACATTTCCCCCATTGTCTTGGTGATTAACATTCAGCTCCTCATTAATTATGAAAATTTATGCAGCCAACTTGAATTTCTCCTTAGAAAATGGGATTTTAATTTCTATCACATTGTCAGGCTGCAAATTTGTCAAACTTTTATGCTCTGTTTCCCTTTTAAAACTGAACACTTTTAACAGCACCCAAGTCACACCTTGAATGCTTTGCTGTTTAGAAATTTCTTCTGCCAAATACCCTAAATCATCTCTCTCAAGTTCAAAGTTCCACAAATCTCTAGGTCAGGGGCAAAATGCTGCCAGTATCTTTGCTAAAATATAGCAAGAGTCACCTTTGCTCCAGTTCCCAACAAATTCCTCCTCTCCATCTGAGACCACCTCAGCCCGGATTTCATTGCCCATATCATTATCAGCATTTTGCTCAAAGCCATTTAAAAGTCTTTACTAGGGAGTTCCAAATATTCCTATATTTTCTGTCTTCTTCTGAGCCCTCCAAACAGTTTCAACCTATGCCTGTTAGCCAGTTCCAAAGTTGCTTTCACATTTTTGGGTATCTTTTCAGCAATGCCCCAGTCCACTGGTACCAATTTACTGTATTAGTTCATTTTCACACTGCTGATAAAGACATACCTGAGACTGGAGAGAAAATAGGTTTAATAAACTCACAGTTCCATGTGGCTAGGGAGGCCTCACAATCATGGTGGAAGGCGAAAAGTACTTCTTACATGGCAGCAGCAAGAGAGAATGGGAACTAAGTGAAAAGGGTTCTCCCTTACAAAACCATTATGTCTCATGAGACTTATTAGTTATCATGAGAAGAGCATGGGAAAAGCCTTTCCCCGTGATTCAATTACCTCCTACTTGATCCCTCCCACAACATGTGGGAATTGTGGAAGCTACAATTCAAGATAAGATTTGCATGGGGGCACAGCCAATCCATATCGGGGCAAAGTCCCCTCTGTCAAGAACCACTACTCTAGTGTTTAAACTGTTTGATGACTAAAGATTTCAGCAGCAGTAGATTATAATATGTTAATTTCAAGAAGCTGTAGACTTTATAAGTAAGTATAATTTATTGTTTTGTATTTTTATTACTTTATTTATATCATAATTTGATCAAGCAAAACAAATTTAAATTTTCATTTCAAAATTGATAATAAAATGGAAGGAATAGGATTAAACTACAGGAAGGATAGAAAAGGCAAAATGGAGGTCAACTAGGGCTTAAATTTATTTTTGGCAAAATGAAACAATTTTCTGATTCAAAGAAATGTCCCTTATGGGAACATCTTTTGCCTTTTGTCTTTTCATTATAGAATCATAGAATCTTAGAGCCAGTTGGGCCCACAGAGATTACCAGGTGAGTGCTAGAGAAAGAAGGGTAAAGCATTGGTGATAGGTTCATGTTCCTTCTTACTGCAGCCTGTTAGTCTGAGTGCTGTAATACATATGACTTAATTATGGAAAATCTATAGTTAATTATAGCATTAATTATAGCATAGAGATAATCTGAAAATTGGCCGGGCGTGGTGGCTCATGCCTGTAATCCCAGCACTTTGGGAGGCCAAGACGGGCGGATCACAAGGTCAGGAGATGGAGACCATCCTGGCTAACACAGTGAAACCCCGTCTCTACTAAAAATACAAAAAAAAAAAAAAAAAAAAATTAGCCAGGCGTGGTGGCGGGTGCCTGTAGTCCCAGCTACTCAGGAGGCTGAGACAGGAGAATGGCATGAACCTAGTAGGCAGAGCTTGCAGTGAGCGGAGATCGTGCCACTGCACTCTGGCCTGGGCGAAAGAGCGAGACTCCATCTCAAAAAAAAAAAAAGAAAAGAAATAATCTGAAAATTATACATAGCAACACATGGAAGTTGATTTGAAAAGTTGTCCCTGTTGAACTAGGACTCCCTGGAGAACTGCCTGACTCAAGGGCTAGGGAAGGGAAAATGCATGATGAACCTGGAGGACCTTGTGTTGCCAGAAAGTAAGGGGTCAGGGAACAGGCCTGACAAAGCAACATGCAGCCAACCTGAAAGAGCTCCCAGTGGCCAAAGCTGGAAAACTTTGAACAACAAAATTAATAAAAATACTACTGAGTTATAACCCAAAGAAAAAAGTAAATATCAGTGAGTTTATACTGATAAAAATAAATGGTTACATACATAAATAATTGAAGGAGAAGTGAAAAAAATCTTCCTTGTGGAAGATTTCCAAATAGTAAACATAAAAGAAATGAGGGAAATGGAAGACACCACTTGATGTGGTTTGGCTGTGTCCCCACTCAAATCTTGTCTTGAATTGTAGCTCCCATAATCCCCACCTGACCTGGGAGGTACCCAGTGGGAGGTAATTGAATAATGGCTCTGATTTTTTCCCATGCTGTTCTGGTGATAGTGAATAAATCTCATGAGATCTGATGGTTTATAAAGGGCAGTTCCCCTCCACATGCTCTCTTGCTTACCACCATACAAGATGTGCCTTTGCTCTATCTTTGCCTTCCGCCATGATTGTGAGGCCTCCCCAGTCCTGTGGAACTGTGAGTCCATTAAACATCTTTTTCTTTATAAATTACCCAGTCTCCCATATGTCTTTATTAGCAGTGTAAGAATGGACTAATACACCACTAGAATACCACAGTAATAGTCGCCATAGGGAAGATTCATGGAAGACTGCTGAAATTAGTGTCTGAAACATAAGGAAGAAACAGGATATTTGCATAACCTCAAATATCTGTGCCCAAAGATTTATTAATTACTGTACTGAATTTAACATATATCCACAAATTCTTTCATACTTTTTCCTCCAGCAGGTGGAGTTTAATTTCCCTCCTTATGAAAGTAAGCTGGATTTAGTGCCTTGCTTGTAATAAATAGAGTTTTGGAAAAGTAAAAATAGTGACCCTACAGCGAAAAAATCTGAAAGATTTGGCCTTATCCAAGTGATGGAGGTGAGCATCACCAATGATAAGTAGTGTTGATGTCAAGCATCCCCGGAAATGATGCAACGAGAAGGACGTCACCACTGTGTTACCTTACCCCCAAATCCAGAATGCCAGTCCAATCATGAGAAAACATCAGCAACTGAGGAGCATTCTACAAAATACCTGACTAATACTCTTCAAAAGTGTCAAGTTCATGAGTAACAAGGGAAGACAGCGACGCTGTCACGGATTGGCAGAGACTAAGAAGACATAACAGATGAATGCAACGTGGTATTCTGGATTGGATCCTTGAATAGGAAAAGGGTATTATTGGAAAAACTGGCAAAAAGACAAATAAAGTCCATAGTTTAGTCAATAGTGTAGCAATGTTGATTTCTTAGTTTTGATAAATGTGTCATGGTTATATAACACGCTACAATTAGGGGAGACTGGGTGGAAGGCTTCCTGGAACACTTTATACTATCCTTACAACTTTTCTATAAATCTTAGTATTTCAAAGTTAACTAAAAGTGAAAAATTGTAAAGTCCCTTGTTTCTTAAAACAAATCTAGGATGCTTGTTATGTGTTAACAATTCTTGTAAATGCAAATCACTTTGAAGAGCAATAAATATTACCCAGAAAAACTGACCACTTTCAATCCCCATGACCTAACAATTTTATTGATTGTATGTTTTTAAAAATGTGCCTGTGCCCAATATCACTAATTAATAGGGATGCATATCAAAACTGCAACAATGTACCACTTTCTAGCCATTAGTTTGGCTACTACTAGAAAACAAAAACAAAAACAGATATTTGAACCCTTGACACTGCTGGTGGGAATGTAAAATGGTACAGTAGCAATGGAAAACAGTTTGGAGGTTCTTCAAGAAATTGAAAATAGATATATCTTGTCATTCAGCATTTTCACTTCTGGGGATATATCCAAAAGAATTGAAAGTAGGGACCTAAACAAATGTGTGTATACCCATGTCCATAGCAGCATTACTTGCAACAGCTAAAACGTGGAAGCAACCCAAAGATCCATCAGTGGAAGAATAGATAAGCAAAATGTGCTACATACATACAATGAAATATTAATCAGCATTAAGAGGCAATGAAATTCTGAGACATACTACAACATGGATAAACCTTGAAGATGTTATGCTAAGTGAAATAAGTCAGTCACAAAATGACAAATATTCTGTGATTCCCCTCATACAATATACTTAGTAAGATTCATGGGGACAGAAAGCAGAATGATGGTTGCCAGGGGCTGGGGGAAGGCAGAATGGAGAGTTATTGTTTGAAAGGTACAGAGGTTTTTTTTTTTAATTATTATTATTTCAATAGTTTTGAGAAAGCAGGTGGTGTTTCGTTACATGGATAAGTTCTTGAGTGGTGATTATGAGATTTTGGTGCACCCATCACCCAAGCAGTGTACACTGTACCCAATGTATAGCCTTTTGTCCCTTATCACCCACTTCTCCTCAAGTCCCAGAGTCCATTATGTCATTCTTACGCCTTTGCGTCCCCATAGCATAGCTTCCACTTATAAGTCAGAACATACGATGTTTGGTTTTCCATTCCTGATTTACATCAGTTAGAATAGTGATCTCCAACTCCATCAAGGTTGCTGCAAATACCATTATTTCATTCATTTTTATGGCTGAGTAATATTCCATGGTATATATATACACCACATTTTCTTTATCCACTATTGATTGATGGGCATTTGGGCTGGTTCCTTATTTTTGCAACTGTTAAACTGTGCTGCTATAAATGTGTGTGCAAGTGTCTTTTTCATAGAATGACTTCTTTTCGTCTGGGTAGATACTCACAAGTGGGATTGCTGGATCAAACGGAAGTTCTACTTTTAGTTCTTTAAGGAATTTCCATACTGTTTTTCATAGTAGTTATACTAGTTTACGTTTCTACAAGCAGTGTAAAAGTGTTCCCTTTTCACAACATCCATACCAACGTCTATAATTTTTTGATTTTTAAAATTATGGCCATTTTTGCAGGAGAAAGGTGGTATTGCATTGTGGTTTTGATTTGCATTTCCATGATAATTAGTGATGTTGTGCATTTCTTTATATGTTTGATGGCCATTAGTATATCTTCTTTTGAGAATTGTCTGTTCATGGCCTTAGCTCACTTTTTGATGTGTTTGTTTTTATCTTGTTGATTTGTTTGAGTTTCTTGTAGATTATGAATATTAGTCCTCTATTGGATACATAGTTTGTAGTTTGCGAATCTTTTCTCCCACTCTGTGCATTGACTGTTTACTATGATGATTATTTCTTTTGATTTGCAGAATGTTTTTACTTTAATTAAGTCTCATCGGTTTATCTTTGTTTTTATTGCATTTGCTTTTGAGTTCTTGATCATTAACTTTTTGCCTAGGCCAATGTCTAGAAGAGTTTTTCCAGTGTTATCTTCTAGAATTTTTATGGTTTCAGGTCTTAGATTTAAGTCTTTGATCCATTTTGAGTTGATTTTGTATAAGGTGAGAGATGAGGATTTAGTTTCATTCCTGTACATGTGGCTTGCCAATTATCCCAGCAGCATGTGTTAATAGGGGATCCTTTCTCCATTTTATGTTTTGTTTGCTTTGTGGAAGATCAGTTGATCATAAGTATTTGGCTTTATTTCTGAGTTCTCTATTCTGTTTTATTGGTCTATGTGCTTATTTTTTCATCAGTTCTATGCTGTTTTGGTAGCTATAGCCTTGTAGTATAGCTTGAAGTGAGAGAATGTGATGCCTCCAGATTCGTTCTTTTTGCTTATTTAATCTTGCTTTGGCCATATGGGCTCTTTTTTGGTTCCATATGAATTTTAGGATTGTTTTTTCTAGTTCTGTGAAAAATGATGATGGTATTTTGATGGGAATTGCATTGAATTTATAAATTGCTTTCAGCAGAATTATCCTTTTCACAATATTGATTCTACCCATCCATGAGCATAGGATGTGTTTCCATTTGTTTGTGTTGTCTGTGATTTCTTTCAGCAGTGTTTTGTAGTTTTCCTTGTAGAGATTTTTCACATTTTTGGTTGGGTATATTCTTAAGTATTTTACTTCTTTGTAGCTGTTGTAAAAGACATTGAATTCTTTATTTGATTCTAAGCTTGGTCATTGTTGGTGTATAGCAGTGCTACTGATTTGTGTACATTAATTTTGTACCTGAAACTTTACTGAATTCGTTTATTAGATCTATGAGCTTTTGGGATGAGTCTTTAGGGTTTTCTAAGTATACCGTCATGTCAGTGGCATTAGCAACAGTTTGACTTTCTCATTACTGATTTGGATGCCTTTTATTTACCTCTCTTGTCTAATTGCTCTGGCTAAGACTTTCAGTACTATGTTGAATACAAGTGGTGAAAGTGGGCATCCTTGTTTTGTTCCACTGATTAGAGAAAATTCTTTGAGCTTTTCCCATTCAGTATGATGTTGGCTGTGGATTTGTCATAAATGGCTTTTATTACCTTAAGGTATGTCCCTCTATGCTGTTTTGCTGAGGGTTTTAATCATAAAGGGATGCTGGATTTCATCAAATGCTTTTTCTGCATCTATTGAGGTGATCATATGACTTTTGATTTTACTTCTGTTTATGTGCTGTATCACATTTATTGACTTGCATATGTTAAACCATCCCTGTATCCCTGTTATCAAACACACTTGATCATGGTGGATTATCTTTTTGATATGCTGTTGAATTGAGTTAGATAGTATTTTGTGGAGGATTTTCACATCTATGTTCATCAGGGATATTGGTTTGTAGTTTTCTTTTTTTTGTTATATCTTTTCCTGGTTTTGGTATTAGGGTAATTCTGGCTTCATAGAATGATTTAGGGAGGATTCCCTCTTTCTCTATCTTTTGGAATAGTTTCAGTAGGATTGGTACCAATTCTTCTTTGAATGTCTGATAGAATCCAGCTGCTCCTGGACTTGTTGTTGCTGGCAGTTTTTTTATTGCTGTTTTAATCTTGCTACTTGTTATTGGTCTGTTCAGAGTTTCTATTTTTTTCTGGTTTAATCTAGGAGGATTATATATTTCCAATAATTTATCCAAATCTTTTAGGTTTTCTAGTTTGTGGACATAAAGGTGTTCATAGTAGCCTTGAATGATCTTTTGTATTTCTGTGGTATTAGTTTAACATCTCCCATTTCATTTCTAATTGAGTTTACTTGGATCTCCTCTCTTTTTCTCTTGATTAATCTTGCTAATAGTATCTCACTTTTGTTTATGCAAAAAGAACCAGCTTTTTGCTTCATTTATCTTTTGTATTGTTTTTGTTTGCTTGTTTCAATTTTATTTAGTTCTACTGTGATCCTGGTTATTTCTTTTTTTCTGCTGGATTTGGGTTTGGTCTGTTCTTGCTTCTCTAGTTCCTTGAGGTGTGACCTTGGGTTGTTTATTTGTGCTCTTTCAGACTCTTTGATGTAGGCATTCAATGCTATGAACTCTCCTCTTAGCACCGCTTTTGCTGTGTCCCAGAGATTTTGATTGGCTGTGTCACTATTTTTGTTCAGTTCAAATATATTTTTTAATTTCCATCTTTATTTTATTTAACCCAAGGATCATTCTGGAACAGATTATTTAGTTTCCATGTATTTGTATAGTTTTGATGGCTCCTTTGACAGTTAATTTGTAATTTTATTCCACTGTGGTCTGAGAGAGAGTATTTTACATAATTTCAATTTTCTTAAATTAATTGAGACATGGTTTTTTTTTTTTTTTTTTTAGATGGAGTCTCACTCTTGTTGCCCAGGCTGGAGTGCAGTGGCATGATCTCAGCTCACTGAAACTTCCTCCTCCCAGGTTCAAGTGATTCTTCTGCCTCACCTTCCCTAGTAGCTGGGACTACAGGTGCATGCCACTATGCCCAGCTAATTGTTTTTGTATTTTTAGTAGAGACAGGGTTTTGCCATGTTGGCCAGGCTGGTCTCAAACTCTTGACCTCAGGTGATATGTCTGCCTTGGCCTCCCAAAGTGCTGGGATTACAGGTGTGAGCCACCACACCCGGCCGAGACACATTTAGTGGCCTATCATATAGTCTATTTTGGAGAATGTTCCATGTGCTGAGGAGAAGAACGTATATTCAGCAGTTGTCGGATAGAATGTTCTATAAACATCTGTTAAGTCCATTTGTTCTAGGGTGTAGTTTTCCATTGTTTCTTTGTTGACCTGTATTTATGGCCTTTCTAGTGGTCAGTGGAGTACTGAAGTGCCCACTATTATAGTGTTGCTGTCTATCTAATTTCTTAGGTCTCATGATAATTGTTCTATAAATTTTGGAGCTCCAGTGTTAGGTGCATATGTATTTAGGACTGTGATTTTTCTCCTGTTGGACTAGTTTTTGATCACTATTTAACTGTTGCTGATTTAAAGTCTTTTCTGTCTGATACAAGAATGGATACTTCTACTCACTTTTGGTATCCATTTGTGTGGAATATCTTTTTCCACTTGGTTACCTTAGGTTCAGGTGAGGCCTTATGTGTTAGATGCACCTCTTAAAGACAGCAGATACTTGATTGGTGGATTTTTATTCATTCTGTCATTCTGTATCTTTTTTTTTTTTTTTGAGATGGAGTCTCGCTCGGTCACCAGGCTGGAGTGCAGTGGTCTGATCTTGGCTCACTGCAACCTCCACCTCCCGAGTTCAAGTGATTCTCCTGCCTCAGTGTCCCGAGTAGCTGGGACTAATGGCTTGTACCACCTCGCTTAGCTAATTTTTGTGTTTTTAGTAGAGACGGGGTTTCACAATGTTGGCCAGGATGGTCTAGATCTCTTGACCTCATGATCTGCCCACCTCTGCCTTCCAAAGTGCTGGGATTACAGGTGTAAGCCACCGTTCCCAGCCCTGTATCTCTTAAGTGAAGCATTTAATCCATTTATGTTCAACATTAATATTGAGATGTGAGGTACTGTTCTATTCATCATGCTAGTTGTAGTCTCAATATGTTGTTTTTTTAATTGTGTTATTGTTTTATAGATCCTGTGAGATTTATGCTTTAAAGAGGTTCTATTTTGGTGTATTTTAGGTTTCATTTCAAGATTTAAGACTCCTTTTAGCATTTTTTGTAGTGCTGGCTTGGTAGTAACAAATTCTCTCAACATTTGTTTGTTTGAAAAATACTTTATCTCTCCTTCATTTATGAAGCTTAGTTTCACTAGATATAAAATTCTTGACTGTTATTGTTTTGTTTAAGGAGGCTAAATATAGGACCCCATCCCTTCTGTCCTGTAGGGTTTCTGCTGAGGAATCTGTTGTCAATCTGATAGCTTTTTCTTTATAGGTTACCTGCTGCTTTTGCCTCACAGCTCTTAAGATTATTTCTTTCATCTTAACTTTAGATAACCTGATGACTATGTGCATAGGTGATGATCTTTTTGTGATGAATTTCCCAGGTGTTCTTTGAGCTTCTTGTATTTGGATGTCTAGATCTCTAGCAAGGCCAGGGAAGTTTTCCCTGAGTATTCCCTCAAATAAGTTTTCCAAACATTTAGATTTCTTTTCTTCCTCAGGAATGCCAATTATTCTTATGCTTGGTTATTTAACAAAACCCCAAATTTCTTGGAGTCTGTTAATTTTTTAAAATTCTTTTTTCTTTGTCTCTTTTTTTCAGTTAATTTGAAAGCCTTGTCATTGAGCTCTGAAGTTCTTTATTCTACTTGTTTTATTCTATTGTTGAAACTTTTCAGTGTATTTTATATTTTTCTAAGTGTGTCTTTCATTTCCAGAAATTGTGATTGTCTTTGCTTTATGATACCTGTTTCTCTGGAGACTTTTTCATCCATATACTGTATTGTTTTCAACATTTCTTGAAGTTGGTTTTCACCTTATTCTGGTGCCTCCTTGAATAGCTTAATAACCAACCTCCCAATTTTTTTTTTTTTTTTTTTTTTTTTTTTTTTTTTTTTTGGCAATTCAGAGATTTCTTCTTGGTTTGGATCCACAGCTGGAGAGCTAGTGTGATCTTTTGGCGGTACTATACAACTTGTTTTGTCATATTACCAGAATTACTTTTTTGGTTTCTTTTCATTTGGGTAGACTGTTTCAGTGGAAAGATCTGGAACTCAAGGGCTGCTATTCAGATTCTCTTGTCCCACGTGGTGGTGCTCTCTTGATGTGTGCCCTCCCCCTTCCTCTAGGGATAGGGCTTCTTGAGAGCCAGATTGCAGTGATTGCTAATGCCCTTCTGGGTCTAGACACCCAGTGGGGCTACTGGGCTCCAGGCCGGTGCTGCAGAATGTCTGCAAAAAGTCCTGTGCTGTGATTTGTCTTCAGGTCTCCCAATTCTGGATAACAGCCCCTGCTCTGGTGGAGGTGGCAGGGGAGTGAAGTGAACTCTGGGATTTTTTGGTTGTTGTAATGTGATGGTTTTCTCAAATGCTGGTTATGCTAGCAGTGAAATTTTCACATGGACAGACTCAGGACCTCTGGTTAGCCAGGATGTTGCAGACCGTGGAATTAGCTGTTGTTTTCTCCTTCTATGGAGCAGGGTTGTTCTCTTATGAGTTGCTGTAATGGCTTCAGTTGGTTGGCCTCCAGCCAGGAGGTGGCACTCTCAAGAGAGCACAAGCTACAGTTGTAGAAGGGGGCTACCATCTTGCCCTATGTTGGCCAGGATAAGTACTCGGGTTTCTCAGGTGATGGGCAGGGACATAGAGCTCCCAAGAGTTTATGTCTTTTGTCTTCAGCTACCAGGGCAGGTAGAGAAAAACCATCAGCTGAAGACAGGGCTAGGCATGTCTAAGCTCAGACTCTCCTTGGGCAGGGCTTGCTTCAGCCACTATGGGGGATTATGGGGTGGTTCTCAGGCCAATGGAGCCTTTGCTGCATCATTCTGGTTGCCAGGGAAGGTGGGGGAAAGCTGCCAGTGACAGGCCTCACCCAGCTCTCATGCAGCCAGTGGGGCCAGTCTCCTGTATGCCACCCAAACTGCACTGAGTTTATATCCTGGCAGCCAGTGAGCAGGGCTGAGATCTTGCCCCAGGCTACAAGCCATTCCACTGAGAAAGCAAGCAGGGCTCTCAGGCTTCACCTCTCTGCCTGCTCACACCTTTGGCTGCAAGCTTCTGTGCTCTATTGTGCTTCCCATTTGCCACCCACTCCCACAACCCACCATCTCCATTCTACTCAGGAAAGTTTGTGCTCAGTCAAAATTATTACAAAGTTCAGCTAGGAGCTTCTGTCACCCTGTGGCCCCTCTGCAATTTCACTGGCTCCCCTCCCTTCCCCAAGGACTGTGACATAAGGCCAGGAATGGCTTCCCTGGGCTTCGCTGGGGACTGGGAGTGCCTACAGGGCTCTTCCCACTGCTTCTTCTACTTTTATATTTTGCTCGGCTTCCTAAATCCATTTCAGCTCTAGGTAAGATTAAAGCCTTCTCCTGTGATCTGAATTTTCAGGTTCCCCAGTGGGGATGTGTGTTCAGAGGCAGACTTTTTCGCCTCTCACACTTTGGGAACTCACAGTTTTTCAGCTGTCTTGCAGCATTTGCAGTGGCAAGCCACTTCTTTCAAAGGGTCTGTGAATTCTTTCAGTCTCCCTAGTATGTCCCTACACTGGTTCTTGGAACAGAAGTTCACAATGTGAATCTCCAGACGCTGATCTGTTTGTCTAAATGGGAGCTGCACGTTAGTCCTGTCTCCTCTCTGGTGTTTTTTCTCTCCTACCTGAAAGGTACAGCGTTTCAGTGTGGGATGATGAAAAGTGCTGGAGTGGATATTGGTGATGGCTGCACAACAATGGGAATGAATTTAATGCCACTGAGTTGTACATTTGAAAATCATTAAAATGGCACATTTTAGTCATGTATATCTTACCACAATAAAACATCAGTTAAAAGAATTTTATTTATAGACCAAATATGTCTGTGCTCTATTTATAACTCCTAGTCTGTTAGGAATCACCCCAAGTACATGTTCCTAGGATTAATGCTTTCTAAAATAATCCTGTGGTCTGGTACATATTCTCAAGGAAGGGATTCCTGTTGAACTCAGCTTGAGGAATTCTTTCCTGTCTACTGCTCAGTGTCTGTTGACTGGAATGCTGGAGAAGATGCAGCACAAATTGGCCCCTGTGGTGCTCACATGATTTCCTTGTGCTTTCCTAGGGTGGGATGCAGCGTGGGAGTGCCGGGGTGTGGAGTGCAGCGTGGGGGTGCCGGGGTGTGGGATGCAGCGTGTGAGAGGCGGGGTGTGGAGTGCAGCGTGGGGGTGCCGGGGTGTGGAGTGCGGCGTGTGAGTGCCGGGGTGTGGAGTGCAGCGTGGGGGTGCCGGGGTGTGGGATGCAGCGTGGGGGTGCCGGGGTGTGGAGTGCAGCTGGTGTTTCACGTTGCTGAACTAAAGCCTTGGTTGCACTCAGCATTCAGATGCTGGGGACACTGTGGTGACCTGACACAAGGTAGCATAGAGATGGCATTGCCCTCAGCCTGCTAGCAACAGGAGGGTCGGGGTCCATCCTCAGCATGTGCAGGCTGCCCCTCGTCCGCAGCGGGAATCAAACTGACGCTGCATGTCTCTTAACAGTTTCAGGTTTTGCCTTGTCCCATGTTTGGATGTGATGATTTGGGTTGGCTCTGGCCACCTGCAATACCCTGAGTTATTAGAAAATGTAAGGAGCTATTCGTCATCCCTGTTTCCTGTGTCCTTAACCTTTCTCTGTTTTTAGTTTCTCAGCATTCAAGGGCTGAGCCAGTGCTCTTTAGTGAAGGACGTCTTTTTGTGGATATGAACAATTTCTCCCCACTTCTCTTTCCCATCTTGTCTCTAACGTGGAGGGAAGGGAGTGATGTTTGTCCACAGCACCTTCGGCAACTATCATGACATGTTTGCGATCGTCACCGTCTTGTGCTAGACGCATAGTCATGATGCATATTTGGCACATTTGGTGCTCAATAAATGACCTCACACAGACACACAGCAACATGTGAAAAGCCAGTAGGAGGAAGATCGACTGCCTCATAAAGGTCAGCAAACGTTTTCTGTAAAGGGACAGAGAGTAAATATTTTTGGCTCTGTGGCCATATGGTCTCTGTCACAAATACTCAACTCTGCCAGTTAGAAAGCAGCCATGGACAAGAGGCAGGTGAATGGGCATGGCTGTTTCAATCATCTTTATAAAAAAAAAAAAAATGTGGGCCAAACTGGCCTTCAACCTGTAGCTTTCCAGCCCAGTATAACCTTTTCTTTAGCTATTCACTTTTGTTTAGTCTTAGAGTTAATGACTATGTCGAAAAAGTCTTTGAGACCAGGAATAAAATTTAAGGAAAAATATGCTAATCACCTTATTTCCAAATTATAGGTAAAATAAGTACAAATAATAGCAGATTACAATGGGTCTAGTTTAGTGAAAGGCTAGAGGACATATAATAGAGGCACATGTAAAAATTATAGATAATAGTGTCAACTTTCATAACTTAAAGTGAAAAATTTCTTTTACTATGTTTACTTTGCAGACAGAAAAATAACATTAGTAAGGAATAATTGCTATTTCTTTTTGGTTATTTTTCTCTCATTCATATTAACTTTTCCTAAATTTCAAAACCGTTAGGCTCAATATCTCATAATCTGTGTGAGAAGAATATTTTTGTATCATCTGCTCTGAAAAACTAAACTGATTATATTCTCTACTAAACACCTGCTCATATCCTGTTGATGCCTCTAAGCAGAGGAAGAAATGGTTGCTCTAAACAGGTGGCAAAGCCCTGATTTTGCACACATAAAGATTTGCTTGCTTCCCACATGATGGGCATCTTTCCACTCATGGTAAGGCATCATTGTCTTCTTAGTTTATATTCACTGATTCAGTATTTCCTGAGTACCTGCTATGAGCCAAGCACTGCTCATAAGTTTTCTGTGCTTCAGCAAATCAGTGAACAAAAGAGACAAAGATCTCCATCCTCAAGGTGCTTGTTTTTCACAGGGAGGGGCAGGTAGTCAACAATAAACACAATAAAGTGGGCAGTACAGAGTGGTAAAAGTGAACAGAATTATGGAGAACAGTAGGACAGAGTGATGAGAGTGCAGAGTGCTGTGCTGTGTGTGTCTGGGTGAGGGAGGTTTCAGGGTTAAGCGGGGTGATCAGAGCAGTGGGTAGACCCCCTGAAAAGAAGAAGCTTGAGCCAAAATTTGAAAAAGATAAAGAAATAGATCATGGCTATCTGAGAGAAGAGACTTCCAAATGGAGAGCAGATAGAGCAAGGATCATGAGACAGGTGCTTGCCTCTTGCATCCATGGATGAGCATGGAGTCTGGCATGGCTGCAGCAGTGAGGGAGGGTGGAGCTTTCAGAGGGGAGGTTGGACTGGTATTGGGTCCAGACCACGGATGGCCTCAGAGCCCACCAGCTCAGAAGTGGAAAGCGATTGCAGGGTGCTGGGCAGAAGTGTGTCTAAAAGGAAGTCTCAAAAGAATGCTTCTGACTGCTGTGCTCAGAGTAGACTGCAGGGGTCAGGGGTAGAAACAGTGGAGTCTGTGAGAGGCTTGTGCAACCTCCCAGTGAAAGATGATGGTGACTCCAACCAGGTTGTAGCATTGGAGGTGGTGAGAAAAGCCAGATTTGGGTAGATCTTGAAAGTAGGACAATCACATTTTCTGAGGGATTGGAGGCAGGGCGTGAGAGAAAGAATGATGCTCAGGATGATGCTCAGGTTTTTGGCCTGTTATATGTTAATAGAAATCCTCTCTATACAGAGATTTAAAAAGAAAATGCTGTTAAAGTGTTATCCAATAACAACTACCCTTATATTTGTATTGTAACTTTATACTGTTAGATGAAAATGCCAACAGAATGTCTCTTCTGGTCTGAGAAGAATAGCCACATATAAAACCTGTCTGCAGCTTACTGTTCTCTAGCAGAGGTTGTGCTTTTATGGATAGCTCACTGGCCTGCTTCCTAGCAGAGGCTCCTAGCTGGAGGGAGGACTCTAACTCTCATGGCATGTGCTGCTTAGTCTTGAGACTAAGAATAAGGGTTTGGAGTATAATAATTAGTTCTTGGTTCTGTTCTGCTTGGAAAAAAACCTCAGAAAGCCTCTTGGTGCCCACAATGATGAAAATAGTCATTACTAATTGTATTCGTGGGCACCCAAGGCATAAACATGTACAAGGCACTTAATAATAACACCATCATCACATCGACTTTTATGATTCTTGGGCTTACCCTGGGCCACACACTTTGTTGGGAGCTCCACACATTGTCTTTCAACCCCTCGCGGCACCTTGAAAGCTATAATCCTTTTGTAACAGATGAAGTGTCTGAAATGCAGAAAGGTTACTGGACTTGTTTAAGTCCAAATAGATACTGCAGAGTGGGGCTGGGGCTCCCTTGACTCCAGACTTGCCCATCTCCAATGCCAGCATCCTTCTGATTTTCCTGCCTCCAAAACTCAGGGATTTAGATGAATGATGTATTCATAACATGCTAACTCAACAAACACATTGATTTAGTGTTTTCTACATGTTAGAAACTGACTTAGCTTGACATTGGAGGATAAAAGATTGATTGATTGGTTGATCAAATGGTTTTTGAATGCTTATTATATGCCAGAGGTGTGCAATACTATAGAAAGATAAAGATGAATGGTCCTTTGTCTTAAGAAGGAACCACCGTTTCTTGGATGTCCTGGATGGTGGTGTTTAAATACTATAGGACAAGAAGCAGCAGAAACCTAAATGGGAAGCCTTCTGTTTGAAAACCCTTCCTTATTTAGGCATTTTAAAAATGTATTAATCTAAGAAATTTGGTACTTTTTGAATTGGAAAGTGGACAATCATATTTCAAGAATGGTTTGAGGCAGGCTTAGCTTAGGTACAAGTTATTATAATTATTATAATTTGTACGTAAGCTAAGTGTATTAGTCTGTTCTCGTGCTGCTAATAAAGACATACCTGGGACTGGGTAATTTACAAAGGAAGGAGGTTTAATTGGCTCACAGTTCCACATGGCTGGGGAGGCCTCACAATCATGGCAGAAAGTGAAGAGGAAGAAGGACACATCTTACATGGCAGCAGGCAACAGAGAGCTTGTGCAGGGAAATTCCCCTCTATAAAACCAACAGATCTCATGAGACTTATTCACTACCACGGGAACAGTATGGGAGGAAACGGCCTCCATGATTCAATTATCTCCACCTGGCCCCGCCAGGTGGCTAATGTGCAGGGATTATTACAATTCAAGGTGAGAATTGGGTGGGAACACAGCCAAACCATATCACTAAGCCTACCTCAAACCATTTGTAAAATATTCTTGAAATATAATTAGTTTTCTAATGTACTCTCATTCAAGTTCTTGTTTGCCTCTGAAACTCACCAGTAGATATGTAAGAAATAGTATTCAAATCACGTGAGGCTCTGACCATATCATTTCAAAACATGCTCATCTCTACTTGAGAACATGACTCCAGCGCCATCTCTTCTGAGATCCTCCTTGCTGATTTTACTTAAATTAGACGCCTTCGCATACCTGCCACATCACTTTACACTGTTAGATTTTTACATAGCTTTGTCATTGCCAGAAATTATCACCTACCTGTCTGTTCATTTATTGCTTTGTTTTGACAAAGTGTTTGATTTATGCAATATAACATTTAAGTGAAAAGAGACTCAATGTTCATCAATAGAGTTTAAAATTTCCAATCTATATGACATTATCAATAGCTTTTTTATATTAAAATACATTTTATATTAAACATACTTGTATTCACGGATGACCCAAATTGTTGGAACTAAAATTTACATTTATATAAACCCATCATTGATCTAAATACAATATGGATATGAATTTATATGTACTTTAATGTCATCAATATTAATGTGAATTCCAAATAAAAATCCATAAAATTGTTAAACATGGAGGAGACAGATATAAAGGTCTAGGGGAACAGCATTTCAGATGGAGGAACAGGCAAGGAGAGGAGCTTGGAGTGTGGTGAGGAACAGGCTTGGAGAGGAGCTTGGAGTGTGGTGAGGAACAGGCAGGAGAGAAGCTTGGAGTGTGGTGAGGAACAGGCAAGGAGAGGAGCTTGGAGTGTGGTGAGGAACAGGCTTGGAGAGAAGCTTGGAGTGTGGTGAGGAACAGGCTTGGAGAGAAGCTTGGAGTGTGGTGAGGAACAGGCTTGGAGAGAAGCTTGGAGTGTGGTGAGGAACAGGCTTGGAGAGAAGCTTGGAGTGTGGTGAGGAACAGGCTTGGAGAGAAGCTTGGAGTGTGGTGAGGAACAGGCTTGGAGAGAAGCTTGGAGTGTGGTGAGGAACAGGCAAGGAGGGAAGCTTGGAGTGTGGTGAGGAACAGGCAAGGAGGGAAGCTTGGAGTGTGGTGAGGAACAGGCAAGGAGAGGAGCTTGGAGTGTGGTGAGGAACAGGCAAGGAGAGGAGCTTGGAGTGTGGTGAGGAACAGGCAGGAGAGAAGCTTGGAGTGTGGTGAGGAACAGGCTTGGAGAGAAGCTTGGAGTGTGGTGAGGAACAGGCAAGGAGAGGAGCTTGGAGTGTGGTGAGGAACAGGCAAGGAGAGGAGCTTGGAGTGTGGTGAGGAACAGGCTTGGAGAGAAGCTTGGAGTGTGGTGAGGAACAGGCAGGAGAGAAGCTTGGAGTGTGGTGAGGAACAGGCAGGAGAGAAACTTGGAGTGTGGTGAGGAACAGGGAGGAGAGAAGCTTGGAGTGTGGTGAGGAACAGGCTTGGAGAGGAGCTTGGAGTGTGGTGAGGAACAGGCAGGAGAGAAGCTTGGAGTGTGGTGAGGAACAGGCAGGAGAGAAGCTTGGAGTGTGGTGAGGAACAGGCAGGAGAGAAGCTTGGAGTGTGGTGAGGAACAGGCAGGAGAGAAGCTTGGAGTGTGGTGAGGAACAGGCAGGAGAGAAGCTTGGAGTGTGGTGAGGAACAGGCAAGGAGAGAAGCTTGGAGTGTGGTGAGGAACAGGCAAGGAGAGGAGCTTGGAGTGTGGCGAGGAACAGGCAAGGAGAGAAGCTTGGAGTGTGGTGAGGAACAGGCAAGGAGAGGAGCTTGGAGTGTGGTGAGGAACAGGCAAGGAGAGAAGCTTGGAGTGTGGTGAGGAACAGGCTTGGAGAGAAGCTTGGAGTGTGGTGAGGAACAGGCAAAGAGAAGAGCTTGGAGTGTGGTGAGGAATAAAGAGCATTTGAAATACTCACAGAAGGTCAATGTGACGCAGATGCGGTAAGCCAGGCAGAGTGTGGCAGGAGATAAAAATAGAAAGATAAACAAGAGCCAGATAATACAGGGCTCTGTGGAACATAGTAAGGAGTTTGAATTTTATCCAAGAGGAATGGGAAGCTACTGGAAGGCTTAACCAAAGAATGACATGCTTTTATTTATACCTAAAATAGATTATTGTGTTTCCTCTGTGGAAAAGGGATTATAAGTGGGCAAGAACAGAAACAGTTAAGAAGTCATTACAGTACTTGAGGAAATGGTTCATGAGTTGGACTGGGTGGTGCAATGGTGTGAGAGAGAAGAGGGCAGATTCAGCTGGTGAGCTGATTGTGGGAAGTGAGGGGGAAAGAATGGGACTTCTAGACTTTTGGCTGAAGCAACTGGGTGGATAGTTCTATTTTCTTGGATTGAATGTTTTGGATGTGTTAAGTTTCAGAGGCTTATTAGGAATCTATGGCTAGTCAGGACTAGAAAATATAAATTTGGAAGTCATACACTTAGGGATGATAGTATTTGAAAGCGTGACCCAACTTAGCTTAAGTGGAGATAGGGAGGATAGATAGAGAAGGGAGAAGGCCCAGGACAAACATCAGGGTTTAGAAGTCTGGCAGAGAAGCCAAAGCCCTCAGAGAAGACCGAGGAGTAGCCAGAGAAGCAAGGGGATTGACTGGAGAAGGTGGCAGGGAAGCTGATAGAAGGAAATGCCTCAACAAGCATTCTCAGGTCTGCCGGATGCTGCTGAAAGAAAACGAATCACCATATTTGGCAGAAAGAAAGAAAATGAATCACCATATTCGGAAACATGAAGGCCACTGGTGGCGATGATAAAAGGAGCTTTATGGGAGTGGTGGGGAAGGACACTGACAAGAATGGAAGGAAGAGAATGAAATTCAAGGGAGTGGAAATGAGGAAAAGAGCTAGAAAGACACTGGCTCAGGGCAGGGTTTCAGAGGGAAGGATATCTTGGAGTTGGTTAGTGTGTTGGTGAGAATTCTCTTGTGTGGATGACATTATGATGGTGCAGAGGAGAGAGCGGAAAACAGCTGAAGCAAAGCCTGTGCACCTTGAGAGCTGGTGAGGTCCCGAGTGCTGGGGGAGGTGTTGCCTTGAGACAGGAATGGGAACACCTTGACGTTGCTTCCATCCTCCTGGAAGGTTGGAGTTGGTGGAGGGGAGATGGAGTTCCTCTATCTCTTCTCGATAGAGAAGGAAGAAGAAGAAATATTGGAGGCTTCAGGAGCATAAAGAAAGTGTGAAATACTTGGATGTCTTGAATACTGGAGTTTTGTTTACAAGGGAAGTGTAGCACAACCTCTGGACGGTGATAAGTATGTGTTTCAGATTTGTGACCTTGAGTTTAGAGTGTGGACAGTCACTATGGCTTTGTGATTTTCTTCAGCTGCTGGCTGATGGTGCAGTGAAATAGAATTGTAAATGGGACCTCAAGCTCTCCGGAGGAAATCGGCTCTCGGTGACTAATGGAGACACCCAAATTTAGATAACAGATTCAAGTGGCCATAAGGGGCAGTGAGAGGAGAACCATCTCTTCACAAACATCGTACTTCATGTGCTTTCTGTGACCAGAGCCAAGAAAAACAGTGGCTAGACTCCTCATCTCCACCCCATTGGCCATTTTAAAAGAAAACACCTGACAAAGACACTTTTAATGTTGGGATGGGAAGCCACCCAGTCAAGGCTTGGCTATCTCAACCAATAAGAACTGAACACACGTGAATCCTACATTTGCATAAACAGACGTGACAGAGAACCTGGGAGAAAACTTTTCCTATTTGAGCCATAAACCCTTCCTTTGTTCTTCGGTGCACACACTTTCATTTGTGCTTCTGAAGAAATGTCTGCGGGAGTTGTTTTTTTTTTTTTTTTTTTTTTTTAACTGTTTTATAGACAACAAAGCTCTTCCTTTTTCCTCTGCAGATTTCATGATCTTTTATTAACAGCGCTGAGTAGGTGAATAGTTGGTCTGAATAGGTTATTGCTTTGCTGTGTGAATTCAATGGAAACAAAGTTTGTGGTTATAGTTTATCAAATTGAATAACGTGATTATAATGATGGGCCCTGGACCCCAAAGTGGGAAAGTTCAAAGTAAGACCAGGAGGGGATGATAGATAATAAAAACATTTTAAGGTCAATGGATTTGTGGTTTACAATGTTGAAAATGGTTGGAGTAGGCAGCACAGAGTAAGTGAGCTGGAAAGATAAGGCTTAGTAGGAGAATGAGATGTTAACATCAGTCTTTTTAATATTATTATTATTATTTTGAGACAGAGTCTCACTCTGTCATCCAGGCTGGAGTGCAGGGACACAATCTCAGCTCACTGCAACCTCTGCTTCCCAGGCTCAAGCAATTCTCCTACCTCAGCCTCCCGAGTAGCTGGGACCACAGGCACCTGCCACCACGCCTGGGTAATTTTTTGTATTTCGGGTACAGATGGGGTTTTGCCATGTTGCCCAGGCTGGTCTCTGACTCCTGAGCTCAGACAATCCACCCACCCTAGGGGCTTGGATTACAGTGTGAGCCACTGCACCCAGCCAGTATCAGTCTTATGGGGTGGGGCATTTATTGTTATATGGCAAGGGCTAAGGTGTGGTCGTGGGGCTGGGTCTCATGGGATGGTGGAGGAAAGAGTGTCGTGGGAGAGAAAGCTAAGGATCTGAGAGCTCACTGCTCAGTGGATTATCTACGCGCAAGCTGAAGTCACTGAAAATGGTAACAAGGGTAGGTAGAGATGAAGATGGAGCCAGCCGCTGAAGTCCGTGGTGGATGAAGGAAAGAACGTGGGGGGTCTGAAGATGGCAGGGAAACGCAGGTGGTCTAGTCAGATGGCGTGTGCTCCAAAGGAGCTGGAGGCTTTTGGAGGAGAAAGGAGGAGATACCGTGTGAATACAGCAGTGGGAGTAAGGGCGTGCTTGCCCCACCTGCAGGCCATGGCTTATGTGCAATATGGGAGGAAAAACATTCCCGTGGAGAAGGAGGCTGGGAAAGTCATGCTCGCTGATAGCTAGGGGTGAAGAGAATTTTTAAAGAGGAACTACAGTATGCAAGAGAGGATTTAGGGAGCTGATATATACGAGCAGGATGCAGAGGAAGAGTTTGGGAAAATGGGATAGGGTGAGAAATTATAGAATGCACAGGAAGTGATGGAGAGGAGTTAGTAAATGGTCAAATGACTTTGAAAATCCAATCATTTCAAAGCACATAGCCTTCTGTGCTAAGGAGAAACACACAACTGCTTTGCTAAGGCAGGCATGGCAACATTAACTGTCCTCTGCTGCCCCTTCCCTCTGTCTGTCTTAAACTCAGAAGCCCCATTCTCCTGAGCTTTGGTTGGGCATATGGCTGCCTGCTGGAGACTGCATATCCCAGCTTCCCCAGTGAAAAAGCTGGACCATGTATCTAAGTCCCCCAGCAGTGAAAGGCCCTTAAAAGGAGGGATTTGGGGCTCGGTTTCTCTTCTCATAGGATTAAGCATGGGTGTGGTGGGGAGTCAGTATCGACGGCATGGATGATTAGAACATCCCGAGGAAAGCCAGTGCAATGTCAAGGGTATCAGAGCCCCAGATGACTTCATGCAGCGGAGCTGCTTACCTGCCCTGAGCCGCCTGCCTGCTTCTCGAAAGTGTGAAAGATCAATCGGGTCTACTTCGTTAGGCCCTAAACACTACATCGCATGTCCAGGTTCTGGCTTTGAACGTATTTGAACATATGCTAATAGCCAGTCTCATTATGTCACTTTATAGAATCACATAAATCACCCTTTCGGACCCTAGAATATTCCTGGTCGAGGTCAGGACACATTTGAAAATGTGGGAAAGGCTGTATAATAGCCTTCAGGTTTTCATGACTTGTTTACTACCTGAGGGATTAGTCAACAAATTTAGTAATCAATCCACAGATATTTGAATCAACAAAAAGGACTGACAAGTGTCATGTAATTTTCCTCATGTTTTTGAGGGTTACGTGGCAGGTGCTGTTTGTATCATGTCCTCTTCAGCTCCTTTTTAGGGGAACAGTATGCCAGCATTTCTGCGTTTTGGGGTGAGGCCTGCTGTCCTCACCCTGGTGCGAGCACATGAAGTAAACGGGACACCTAACAGTGTGGTTTTCCTCTCTGTGCCAGCGGCTCGGATTCCCTCCCTCACCTGCAGGCTGAGCAGGTCGGCTTGTCCGTCATTCTGCCTTTTAAGTGAATCAGAGGGCAAAAGTTCCCTTTCCCTGGCACAGTTGAGCCATCTCTTTTGATTCAGTTGTGGAAGTCTCCAGCCTCAGTGAGGGCTGTAAAAGGCAATCATGCAAAGTGTCTCGTTCTTTAAGGGAATGGTATTCGTCAGATTTCTGACTTTTTGGAGATGCTGTTGGTGGAGAAACACTTTCTGATGCTTCAAATGCAACATCTTTTATGCAGTTCAGTAAGAAAAAATCTTCCTCAATCCTCATTTTTACAAACATGTCCATTTGATTTGTTACTTTGCATGGTTACATTATTTTTGTGTAATAATTACTGTGGCTTTTAATAACAAGGTTAATTATCACTAGCAACTTAATGTATTCCACCAGGAGCACTTTTTTTTTTACCCTGTCTTCCTGTTATGTGGTAGTTTTTCTGTTTCTTCCAGTAGAAGCTTCAGTGAGGCTGCATGCATGCACAATAAAGGGTTGTACGAGCAGTGTTTTGGGCAAGACAGGCCTGGAGAGCTTTGTCCCATGCCAGTGCCATGGGGCCCAGTGAAAGCCTGGCCTGGGTATTAATTAAGGACAGAGACACGGAGCACCATCCAAGGGGAGAGAACAAATCTGTTCCTTCACAGCAGATCCTATTTGCAAGTGCCACTCTCTCTGCCTGAAATTCTCCTCTCCCAACTTTCCATCAGTTTCTTGAGAGTTTTCTTTTTTTTTTTTTTAAAAAAAAACAACTTTGTTGAGATATAATTCACATTCCATACAACTCACCCACTTCAACTGTATGACTCAATGGTTTTCAATATATTCACAAGTAGGTACAAACATCACCACAGTCAATTTTAGAACATTTTTATCACCTCAAAAAGAAACCTAGAACTCTTTCCAAATGGCCCCATCTTCTCACCCCCATGGCTAAGAAACCATTTACCTCCTTTCTGTCTGTGTGGACCCCTCCATTCTGGATTTTCATATGAACGGAATCATAGAGTATGTGGTCTTTTGTGACTGACGTCTTTCACCTACCACGATGTTATTAAGGTTCAAGCATGTTGTAGGATGTATTAGTACTTCATTATCTTTTATGGCTGAATGAGGTTTCATTATGCAGATAGACCTTATTTTGCTTATCCATTTAGCTATTGAAAATCTGGCTTTTGTGAACAATGCTGCTGTGAACATGGACATGAAAATGCCTCTTCAAGATCCTACTTTCAATTATTTGGAACATATGGGTAAGTTGTCTTTAGTGGCCTCATTAAAAAAGTAAAAAGCAAACAGGTGGAATTAATTTTAATAATACGTTTTACTTACTTCGATATATCCAAATCTCACGTCAACAAATCATCAATTAAACACGTAATAAGAGAGTTTGCATTCTTTTCCACTCTAAATCTGTGAAATCCAGGACATAGTTTGCACTTGCAGCTGACCTCAGTTGGAACCAGCCCATTTCACGTGGCCAATACCCACAGGTGCCTAGTGGCTACTGTGTTGAACAGGACCCTCTAATCCTTGAGGTGCTGGGATTCAGGAGTAGCTGACTGTGTGGTGATAGCTGCTGCTGAACTTCAGGTTGCATCCTCTTTCTCTCTCTCTCTCACTCCTCGAGAAACATACAGCAAAAGCTCTTGGCAAAGCTTCCAACCTCATTGTCAGACCCATCTGATTTTATTCAGTGAGAAGGATTATGTGATCTGGCTTTTGATATGATGAGCTAAGTTCGAGTTGTATTTCTTTCAAGAGAATTTTGAGTCTGAAATACAAAAAGTGTCCCAGAAATACACCTATTCTCCCTTGTGCTGAGTCACTTTGGACAATTTAACCTCAAATCATGACAGGGAATGCTTGATACTTTGCTGTTCAACATTTTGTCAGCTCTAATGAGTGTTCAATTTATAACTAATGACAATGCATCTTATAGGGTGGGCCAGCCCATATGGGTGGGGGTCGATGTGAGAGGGTTGTCGTTATAATTTCAGCACGTACTTTAACAGTGGCAGTTGTACATTTTGCATAAAGGCCTGAAGTCTTGTGACATCAAGAATATATGAGGAAAAGAAAAGCGTCTTCCAATACAAATAATGTAATATGATAGTTATTCACATAATATTGCCCCTTTTCACTTGCGTTGTTTATTTAAAACCGAGTTAGGGAGGGTGTGACAAAATAACAGATGCTCCCATGAATGCTCATCTCTTTAAATCTGGCCTCAGCTGATGTCAGTCAGAGTCTACTAGACTAATGGGGCTGCTGCAAATCTCAGCTTTGCCGCCGGCTTGGGCACGTTTCCTCAGCGTCTCTGGCTCCCCGTATTCTTGTCTTCAACACAATGGGTGGAAGTGTGGTTCAGTGTCTAAGAAAGTCTCCAGCACAGTGTGGGATGGGGACAGGCTCCTGTTTTCCTTTTCTTCTCAGAAGCCCAAGAGCTGGTGCACCATCTTGTTCGTCTCGACTCACAGGTACAGGTTTGGGATCACAGTGTGCATTATTAGGGACAGAAAGAGAGTGCCACTGAGATAAAGGCAGGAAGAGAGTACCACTGAGATACAGGCAGAAGGCTACCAAGGACATCTTTATATTCTTTTGCAGACCACTGGGGTCACTTGAATTTAGAATTTACCAGGTGCAATTTTGCAAACTATCTTAATTATCTTGACATTATAAAAGCCTGTAATCTTGTACTTCTGACATCTGAGTAATTAGGGCTTTGAACACCAGTGCCTTCTAGGTCACAGGCTTGCATTTTTTCCACTGCAGATTGGCTGTCAGCCATTACCACCTTTCTGCTCCAATGGAAACCTTTCTAAATGAGAGCGGGATTGGACAGGATGGCTTTGATTTGAATCTCTGTAAAAACAACTTTCATGTATTGAGCTGCATTGAATTTTTATTTGCGCACTGAACTTTATTTTATATTTTAAAAAGACAAATAACAAGCAATTATATTTGGCAGATAAAAAGAGACATATGAGCATGATAAATTTGGCTGTGGATCTCTCTGACCTAATCTAATAATCATTTTGGTTTCAAAAGCCGAATGATTTCTCAGAGCAGCTTGTTACTTGCTTATACAGCTCAGTTAAGAAGAACACAAATAGTTCCCCAGGCACACCCAAGATACAGCAACATTATAAAACACTGCTTATTAATTGCTTTTTAGGTTAAGAATTATGGTAAGGTAAGATTTTGATTTTTGAGAGACATTAAAGTAAAATGATATTTACCCTTCACATGCTAATTTACCCTTGTAAGTTATGCGACATTTTTATCCATTCTGTAAGTTGTGTGAAGCTTTTGAAACATCTTTAGATAGAAGTTATTTCTTTTCAGTCTATTTTTCTAAGAACCTTTGCTGGCAAATAAGAAAGTTCATTTACCAGGGGATATGTATAAGTATTGAATGTTAAATATTTGTTGGGGGAAGATGAAAATGACATTAACGCATCAATTAACAGTTAGTGCAAATATTTTTAACACATTGTTAGGCCCTACTTCTGGTTTTCAAAATTATAACACCATTACGTCATAGGAATAAAATTCTCCTTATAAAATATTTATATACATATAGTACATATTATAGGGTGTGATATATATATAGTGTATATTATCTGTTATTTTATATATAAATACACAGTATTTTACAGGACTTGTTTATTCCAGAAGAAAGCAATTTTGTTAGAATTTTATATAAATCTACTTTTTGACTAAAATTTACTTTAAAGAAATGATACAATCCTTTGGGCAAACTATTGAACAAACAAAAATTCCCTTTTCACTTTCCATTGAGATGATTTAGTTGAAAACATTCAGTTGAAAAAATCAATGTACATATTTTAGAATACTTTTTTTAGACCAAGCTGAGGATTTGGGGTCTGTTCTTTACTGTGGGGGAGGGAATGAAGCCTCAAAAATGATCTTGTGCAATCGGAAAAGTTGTTAGAAGCCTGTGTCCGTGAGAATGAGAAGCAGGTAACCATACTTGGTGAGGATGCTCAACCAGCTACCATTGCGCTCCGGGGAGCATGTGACCAGTGTTACTGCGGCAGACCAGAGCCTGGGTCACCCCCGGTATACCGACTGTGAGTCAACCACTCCCTTAAAAAATGGAAGCAGTGCATCAGAGTCATGCAAAATATCTGCTACACCTGCCTGACGGGTCACTGATGGGCCATGCTCACCCTGCAGTGAGTTCCCTTAGAGGCGGGTTATGACGAGGGTCCCATCCCTGCCTCCTACTGCTGCTTTAATGCTGCTGGCCTGCCCACTCACCATCACCCAGAATAGCCTAAGATCCCACCCTGGGCACTAAGCTCTGTTTCTCTGTCTTTCACAGATTTCCCTCCCATGTATCGTCATGGTCCAGTGTGTCTTATTTCACTTCCCTGGACCTTCACTGCCTGGGTTAGGATCAGTGCAGTGTCAGAAATACAGACTTTAGGTCGCAGCTCCTACTCGGGTAAGTTACTTAGCCTCTCTGTCTCAGCTCTTTCGTCTCCAAAACACGTAAATTTATTACATTGACTCATTAAAACCCCAAGCCTTGAGAGGAAGGTTGATAGTACATGGATCTTTTCATTTGCAAGGATGGGGAAGAAAGGAAAAAGAGAGAATTTAAAGGTAATAGAATAAAGTTGGAGAACTTGTTCAAATGACAATTACATTGTCTGCTTTTAAATCATGTATTTTATTTATTTGTTTTGCCATATTTTGTTATTTAGTACCAACTAATTGCCAGACACTGTACTGGGCTCTCGGTGTACAAAAGTACAGAGAACCCAGATCCAGGGCCTTCCATTTGCATGGAGAGGAGGTTGTAATAGACATATGAACACACAGGTATAGCAAGTGTAGAAACTGAAGTGTGACAAGATATTTGTCAGGCAAGAGGAAGGCACTGACGGTGGCCCAGAATTCTGTCACAGAGGAGGAGACATTTGTCTTGAATTTCGAAAGGTGGAAAAGGGTTAATCAGCATTAGCGGGGAGGAATCTGGGCAGAAAAGGAAAGATTAGAGTGTGCTCAGCCTCTTTGGGAATTGATAAGTGGTTTGCACAACCGAAAAGCAAGGTGTGAGGGGAGGACCTATGAGATTCAATGGTGGGGCATGTAGACAAGGGTCCTAGGAGCCAGACAAAGGCATTTAGAGTTCACACTTCAGGAATCAATGACCACGACAATGATGTGACGAGGTCACAGAAACCAGCAGAGAACATAGTTTTTTTAAAAAAGTTGCCTGAATATAGCGGCTCCTGCCTGTAAGCTTAGCAATTTGGGAGGCCAAGGATGGAGGATAGCTTGAGTCCAGGAGTTCAAGACCAGCCTGAGCAACATAGCAAAATCCCATCTCTACACAAAATTTAAAAAATTAGTCCAGTGTGGTTGCATGTGGCTGTAGTTCCAGCTGCTCAGGAGGCTGAGGCAAGAGGATCGCTTGAGCCTGAGAGATTGAGACTGCAGTGAGCCATGATTGCACCACCCCATCCCTGCCTGGGCAACAGAGTGAGACTGTCTCAGAACAAAAAATATTATTAACATTTGTTTTGATTGACAAATCATAACTGTATACATTTGTGGGGTACAATGTGATATTTTGATAATTGTATACAAGATGAAATAATTAGATCAAGCTAACATATTCATCGCCTTGCTTACCTGTTCTCTTTCATGGTGAGACAATTGAAATTTATGCTCTCAGTTATTCTGAAATATATGACACATCATTACTGACTACAGTACCTTGCTATGCAATGGATCACCAACCCTCTGTCTATCTGAAACTTTGTTCTCTTTGATCATCAACTCCTCACTCCCTGTCTTCCCACACCCCGCACCTGTCAGCCTCTGGTAACCATCATTCTACTTCCTGTTTCTATGAGTTCAACCTTATTAGATTTCACATGCCAGTGAGATCATGGGGTATTTGTCTTTCTGCGCCTACCTTATTTCTCTCAGCATAAAGTCCTCCAGATTCATCCATGTTGTCACAAATGACAGGATTTCCTTCTTTTGAAAGGCTGAATAGTATGCCATTGTATATATACCACATTTATCCATTCATCCACGGATGGACACTTAGGTTGATTCCACATCTTGGCTGTTATGAATAGGGCTGCAATAACTATGGATGTGCAGACGTCTCTTGGACCTACCTTCAGTTCCTTTGGATACACACCCAGAAGTGAGATTACTGCATCATTTACTGGTTCTATATTCAGTTTTTTGAGGAACCTCCATGTCATTTTCCACAATGGCTGTAGTAATTTACATTTCCATTACGCATAAGAGTTCCCTTTCCTCTGCATCCTCTCCAACATTTATTTTTCATCTTTTCGATGATAGCCATTCCAACAGGGGTGAGGTGATAACTCATTGTGGTTTTTATTTGCATTTCTCTAATAATTAGAGATGCTGAGCATTTTTTCATGTACCAACTAGCTACTTGTAAATCTTCTTTTGAGGACTTTGGGTCCTTTGCCCATTTTAACATCATCTAATTATTTGTTTTCTTGCTATTGGGTTGAGTTTCTTTTATATTTTGGACATTAGCTGCTTACTTGATGTATGATTTGCAAATATTTTACTCCATTTTGTGGGCTGTCTCTTCTCTCTGCTGATTGTTTCCATTGCTGTGCAGAAGCTTTTGAGTTTGATGCCATTTTATTTGTGTGTTTTTGCTTTTATTGCCTGTGCTTTCAGGGTCTTATCCAAAAAAAATTATTGTCCACACCAACGTTATAGAACTTTCCCTTATGTTTTCTTCTAGTCATTTTAGAATTTCAGTTTTTATATTTAAGTCTTTTATCCATTTTTTAAATTTTATTTATTTATTTAGAGACAGGGTCTCACTCTGCCACCCAGGCTGGAGTGCAGTGGTGTGATCTTGGCTCACTGCAACCTCCGCCTCCTGGGTTCAAGTGATTCTCGTGGCTCAGCCTCCTGAGTAGCTCGGATTATAAGCACCTGCCACCAGCCTGGCTAAGTTTTGTATTTTTAGTAGAGATGGGGTTTCACCATGTTGCCCAGGCTGGTCTCAAACTCCTGACCTCAGGTGATGTACCTGTCTCAGCCTTCCAAAGTGCTGGGATTACAGGCATGAGCCACCATGCCAGGCCAAATCTTTTATCCATTTTAAGTGGATTTTTGTGTATGTCATAAGATAAGGGTCTAATTTCATTATTTCACATGTGGATATGCAGTTTTTCCAACATCATTTGTTGGAGAGACTCTCCTTTCCCCATTGTGTGTTCTTGGCACCCTCATCAAAAATCAGTTGACCATAAATGTGGGGGATTATTTCTGTGTGTTCCATTCTGTTCCATTGATTGATTTGTCTGTTTTTTATGCCAGTTCTAGGGTGTACTAATTGCAACTGCTAAAAGAGTTTAAAATGAGGGAGTGTGATGCCTCCAGCTGTGTTCTTTTCCTTCATGATTGTTTTGGCTATTTAAGGTCTTTTGTAGTTCCATGTGAATTTAAGGATTGTGTTTTCTATTTCTGTAAAAAATGACATTGAATATTTGATAAGGGCTGGACTGAATCTATAGAACATTGGGTAGTTTGTACATTTTCACAACATTATTTCTTCTACCCATAAACATGGAAAATATTTCTATTTATTTGTGTTTTCATCATTTTCTTTCATCAGCATTTTATAGTTTTCAGTATGCAGGTCTTTTACGTCCTGGGTTAAATTAATACCTAAGTATTTATTTATTTTGTTGCTATTGTAAATGGGATTTTTTTTTGAAATTTACTTTTTAAATATTTGTTATTAGTATATAGAACGCTATTGATTTTTGTACGTTGATTTTATATCCTGAAACCTTAATTTGTTTATATGTCCTAACAGTTTTTTTGTGGAGCCATTAGGGTGTTCTATATAAAAGATCAATTTGTCCGCAAATAGAGACATTTCACTTCTTCCCTCAATTAGAATGCCTTTTGTTTCTTTCTCTTGCTAAGACTTCTAGTGCTATGTTGAGTAGGAGTGGTGAGAGTGGGCATCCTTCTCCCTGATCCTAGGAGAAACGCTTTCGACTTTCCACCATTGAGAATGACGTTAGCTATGGGTGTGGCATGGGCGTCTCTCCTGTGCTGAGGCAGCTCCCTCTATGCTGGATTTGCGAGGGTTTGCTATTACGAAGGGCGTTGAAGCACGCTGGGGGCTGAGCCTGGAGCACCTGTGGGGGTGCTTCCTGTGGCGTGGTGCCTCTGGCTAGTTTCTCTGATGTGGCACCTCCATGGGCCAGGCCCGATCTGTGCCCTGTTTGCTGTGAGCCCCACCTGTTTTTGTTTCTAACTGGCCCTGTGGGCACTCCCAATGTTTCCCGTGGGACAAGACAGGTGTGAGCTCCTGCAAAGTGGCCCAGAATGGTGGGGATGTGTTTCCCATGGGACAAGACAGGCGTGAGCTCCTGCAAAGGGGCCCAGAATGGCGGGGAAGCGTTTCCTGTGGGACAAGACAGGCGTGAGCTCCTGCAAAGGGGCCCAGAATGGCGGGGAAGCGTTTCCCGTGGGACAAGACAGGCGTGAGCTCCTGCAATGGGGCCCAGAATGGCGGGGGAGCGTTTCCCGTGGGACAAGACAGGCGTGAGCTCCTGCAAAGGGGCCCAGAATCGTGGGGAAGCGTTTCCTGTGGGACAAGACAGGCGTGAGCTCCTGCAAAGGGGCCCAGAATGGTGGGGAAGCAGAACTTCTGCCTCCAACTCACTTTCTCACCGTGCAACTGCGGATCCAGAGGAATCTCTGCATGTGAGGCTCTGCCAGGTTGGGGAGGAGTGTGCGCTCAACATCTCTCTCCACTTTTTACCATTGCAACAGCTTTTCTTAGCTCTGGGGTCCAGGAGTGTGTCTCAGCCTTAGTCCTGAATTCTGGGACATGCACGATGGTATTCTTGCCTGTGGAGAGCTGCTAGTTGAATTTCTGTGGTGGTGAGTGATGTCAGTGAAGTCCCATTCTGGTTTCTCTCTGATGTCACACTGAGAGCACAGTTTTGGTGAGAAGATTATCTTTGTGTAAAAGCAAAGAAGAGAGGAAAGAACCTGCGTTTCTCCTCTGCACTATCCGCTGCGTTTTTCTGTAGAATTGGGTGTGCCATTTGCAAGAGCTGTGTGTGTGCAGCAGAGCAGGCAGCCAACCAATCCTTGCGGTTCAGTGTGAGTTGGGAGGGAGAAAGCGCAAACCACTAAGTGTAGACAACACGCAGGGAGTTCATTTGGGAAGTTTAGCGAGTGGTGTCCAAAGCAGAGTTGCTCCCTCAGCACTATGGGCAGTTTGGGCCACACAATTCTTTGTTGTTGGGGAGAGAAGGCTGTCCTGTGCCTTGTAGGAGGTTTGGCAGCATCCCTGGCCTGGACACCCCATGACAGTGGCAACCCCTCCCCTAGCGGTGACAAACATAAAGGTCTCTAGATGTTGCTAAATGTCCTCTGGTGGGGGTGGGAAGGGCATTGCCCTGTGTGAGGACCGCTGGTAGAGACTGTTGCAGGGTTCAGAAAAGAGATTTTTGTTTTTCAGTTGGGACATACATGATCAGTCTTGGGGAAGGAAGCAGAAGCAATGGTGGAATAGGACAAAGATAAAGGAAAGAGGTGGAAAGTGATGAACACAGACCGCGATGACCCGGTGTGGGGTGATATGGGCGAGGACAGCATCCAGCGAAGAGGTCCTGGCTCCTGACTGCAATTTGGTGGCTCTACTGTACCCTGTGCAACGGGTATAGGTTGGTGCTTATTTTCTCTCCATGTGGTCAGAAGTCTCATCTTCAAAGTGCTTAAGCTGTAGCCCTTGCCCTGTCACCTCTGGTTATTGCTGGGACCTGGGTCACACTCCTGGTTCATCTGCTGGCCCCAGGCCGGGTGAGGCTCCCATGTGCCTGCTGGCCTGAGAAAGGCTTATGTGAGTCACGGGCTACTAGGGGCAGAGAGAAGGGAACAGGATGGAGAAATTAAGTGAGGAATAAGATTGTAGAAAGCCAGGAAGAAGCCGAAAGGGGACTTGGCTCTGGCAGCATTTTGTTTTGCATCAGTCTGTGCTGGAATAAGCTGTCGAAAGGTTGTCTACCCATTGCCCCCTGGTACCTTGTGCTGTGCTCATTGTTGGCAAAACACTTGAATGATTGTGGCCTAAATGTGCAGTGATAAAAGACAGAACATAGCTTTGTTATTTTTCTAACCAGAATAGGAGAGTGGCTTTTGGAATCAAGATTTAAAATTCAGCCTTATCCTCATGATTTGCTTGTGTTTTGGCTTGTATTTTGGCTTGTGCTTGAAATGACAAGAAGGATCAAGGGTTTAAATGTGATCTTGAGAAGACATGAGAGAGAGAATTGATATTTTCCTATCTAATATTTATATTACTTTCCTGTATAGAGTAGGCTAAGGATTTTATTTGGACGCTAATTGTATGTAATTCCTATAGCAGTTATTTTGATTAAGCCAACTAGATTTACCTCTAATTATTCATTTTAAGCCCTAGATTTAAAGATAACTTTTTATTCTCTGTAAACAACCTAAAAGTTGCCTTAGATTTATTTCATAATATGTAAAAATGCTGAAAAAGGGCTAGTTTGGCTGGAGAGACATTTTAATTTTTCCCTTTAATTTTAAATGACAATAGTGTGTGTATAGGAGCTGCGTTTCCTACCGAATATTCACCTGGTGTGGAGACTGAATAACATGCCACTCTAAGGGTTAATAAAAGCATTAAATAACTTGCATCTGGGAAACATCAATTGAATAGATAATTGCTTCTTTGTGTTTCTGCTTAGTAGTGGCTGGACATGTAAAGTTTCTATACCACAAAATGAAAACAGATGAGCAAACAAGAGGCCCGGGGTCACATAACCGATGCGTGCTCAAAGCTCGAAGCAGCGTCAATCAAACCTGGAGGGTACCATGTCGAGAGATGGTATCTTTCCATTAATCAGGAATTGGTACCCGGGTGATAGACGGCCTCTGTAATGAAAACCTCAGTTAGCAAACAGCCAGAAGAGAGAGAAAATAATCCAACCAGCCAAATAATCAAAGAACACATGAGGTGTCTGTAGGGAGATTTCCACAGTGGGAAACCCATAGAAAAAGTTCTGTCTCTCACTCTTGTTTTTGTTTTTTGGTTTTGGATACAATTTCATTTAAGTAGAAAGATCATCCATGATTTTCTCAATCTTCCTTATGTCTTTTATGCACTATACTTGCCAAAGTAGCATAGACAGAAAAAAAGCAGGAATCCTATGGATTTCCACCCTTAGTCCTTCAACTAACTTTAAAATAACTTTTAATTTTCTTATTCAGGTCTACATTCTAAGTCACACTCCCCTCCCACATGTCTTTGCCTGCTATTTTACTTCATTAATATTTACCAGCTTTTCTGAATTTAGACACCTAATTTTGTATTTTCATGTATTTCTCTGCATATCCTTCAGATCCTTATTTTCCTCAATATTCATGTAAAATATATAAACTATAATTTCTGTGTTCTTTTAAGAGATAGCAAGTACCTAAACAAAGGGGTGTTCTCCCGTGATTTTTTTAACTCAGCATTTTTTGCCAGAAATGGTCATTTGGGATTTATTCCCACGCCCTTGTGTTTTTCCCTCCCCCTCCCCTTTCCCTCCCTTCCCTCCCTTTATCTTTTTCTCTCTCCCTTCCTCCTGCCCACCCACCCTACATTTTTCCCTCCCTCCCTTCTTGCTCCCTCCCTCTCTTTCTTCCTCCCTCCCACCCTCCTTTCCTTCTTTTCCTCTCTTTCTTTGTCCTTTCTTCTCTTCCCTCCTCCTTTCCACCCTTTTCCTTTCACCACTATTTATTGAGTGCTTATTGCACAAGAGACTTTGAGTGTCCAGTGCTGGCTTGTGGCAGGACAAGCTGCAGACAAAACCCCTCAGACACCGAGTTGTAGAAGAAAGGGCTTTATTCGGCTGGGAGCTTCAGCAAGACTCACGTCTCCAACAACCGACCTCCCCAAATGAGCAATTCCTGTCCCTTTTAAGGGCTCACAACTCTAAGGGGGTCCGCGTGAGAGGATCGTGATCGACTGAGCAAGCTGAGGGTTCATGACTGGGGGCTGCATGCACTGGTAGTTAGAACGGAGAAGAACAGGACAGGGATTTTCACAGTGCTTTTCCATACAATATCTGTAATCTATAGTTAACCTGACCGATTAGGTCAGGGGTCGATCTTTAACTACCAGGCCCAGGGTGTGGCACTGGGCTGTCTGCCTGTGGATTTCATTTCTGCCTTTTAGTTTTTACTTCTTATTTCTTTGGAGGCAGAAATTGCGCATAAGACGATATGAGTAGTGGTCTCCTCCCTTAGCTAAGGACTCTGACTCCTCCTTCTGTGGGGCTCCATGTATTCTTTCTCATTGGCAACACTGGGAATAGCAGGGCCCAGTTGAGTTTGGAGAGTGTTGCTTAGTGCTCTTTAGTTGCAACCATCTGAAAATAACATGAAAAGAAAGGGGAATTTCCTGAAAAATGTTGGTGGTAGCAATGAGAGCAAGGCTCAAAGAATAAACTGGAAGCTGAGAAACTAGGCTTGAAAATAGAAATCAAAGGGACTGGGGAAGCAAGGACCCTGCATTCGTCTCTGGGCAGGAAGGGTTCGCTCAGCGCACTGGTGCTGCGATAAATATCATGTGCCTCTGCTGTTCTCTCATCACGGATCAAGAGTCCAAGCCTGGAGGGAGAGCGACTGACAGCCATGGTCTGGTCACACGCCTGCCTGAGAGCTGCACGGGAGCCGGCGAGGAAAAGCCCTTGCTGCTTCCAGTGTAAGGCAGGTGTCTGGATTTTTCTTCAAGAGAGCCAACACGATGAATGAAGGAACTTAAATCATGGCACGGTTAGAAAGAAAAGTAGCAAGACAGGAACTACTCCTTCCCTCCAAACAAAAAGAAAAACAAAATGAGATATTCACTGTAATTAATATGAATTTGCAAGGGAAATAATGCAGTATATGATCTCAGTCTCAACTTATATCTTTATTTCAACTATATCTACTTCAGAAAGGATTTGAAGGGTTTCCAATAAAAGACAAATAAAATGTTATAAATGGTAGATAAATGAAGATCAAATATGACCCTGGTAGAGGTATGAGAATTTTGTCTGTCTTGTTCAAGAGCTACACTGGCTGCACCTGATATAGTAGATGCTCAATAAGTATCATTACCTTCTGCCAGGTCCCTCCCAGGACACATGGGGATTATGGGAACTACAATTCAAGATGAGATTTGATTAGGGACACAGCCAAACCATATCAGTATTATATTTTATTGCAACTATTGGCTCAATAGGTGCACTATGTATTTTTGTTCAAAGTTATTGCTCAAGCGTTTACCGTGTATATTGTTAACTTATCACAGTTTATTCTTAAGTACTATTATATCATCTCCCAAGTAATATAAAAATCTTACAGCAGTCCTGGCTTTTCGTGGTTCTTATATGCAGGAATTTTTGTTACTGTGCTTTGGTTAGATAACATATATAATTCCTTCATGGACACAGTGCAAATTTCACTTTCCACAGTGTATTAACTATGTGTAATTTCATTCAGTACAAATTTTGATGCTGGTTTTTAGTACAAAAATTAGTAAGTATTTAATGGACAAGCATGATGATCAGTGAGCAATCATGCTGTCTCTGTGAAAGTGTGCTGGTTATTTGTCGCTGTGTACCTGTGCGTCTGTATGAATTTAGTTTAGACAGATATCAAGGTGTGTAGTTGTGTAAACTACTTGTCCTCCAGTCATAAACTCACATAATTTAACTTTTAAAGCACCATCACTGTTGGATAAGTGTCCAGGTCACCTTTATTCATTTGGATACCTCCATGAAGATGTTAAAAAGCCGCTTTTTACTAACAAATACAACTTTAATCGTCCAGCTAGTGGACCAAGGAGTTATTTCAATGTTTAAAGCCTACTGTCTTAGACAAACTTTTCAACAGACTACTGAAGCTACAACTGGAGATCATGCAATTTTTAAGCGAAGTTTTGAAAGATATATTACTTAAAAATGCAGTTGAAATACTTAAGCATCATGGCGGCAAAGAAAGTGAGTAATATGTGTGTGCAGTACAGCAGAAACTTGTATTGCTCTGTGAAAATAACATGCAGGATACCAACAGAATGCAAGTGGAGCTATTGGCTCATTTTGCTCCTGCTTGTGCAGAACTTTTCATGTCAGGCCATCTCCTGGGCTACTGGTGAGTTTATGGATCGGCCCAGCTGTAGTCTATCCTGTTGTTCCTGAAGTGGGGTGGAGGTCAGCCAGCAGCCTGCAAAAATGTTAGAAAATAAGAGTCAAGCAGGACTTCTGATGCCCCCAGATCATGTTATTGTTATGATCAGCCATCCACAGCAAGTGTCTTATTTGCATTATATCCGATGATAGTGATGGATCTGCATTGCTGTTTGCCTCTTGTAACCCACAGTGTGAGAATGCAAAATCCAGGGTTAGGAGTGCAGTCAGTGGCAGTGTGACTAGGTGTTTCTCTGTAGGATACTAAGAAAAATACAGCCCAGGAAACTGTTAGTGCTTTCATTTTGTTTCACTATAGGTCTGCCTGGATGATCAAAACAGATGGGAAGGAGCCATGGTGGGGCAATGATCCTGTTCTGTTGCCTCCTGGAGATTCAAGCATTATATATGGAGAGCTATCATCTCTACCCCTCCTCCCGGTTTACTCTCATGGTGAGCTCAGGTAGAGTTTAGCAGGGATGTTCATGTGAATATCGTCTGTGTTCGTGAATAGGCTCGTATTTCAGTTGCAAGCAACATGATAACCTTAAAGTTCAGTTGCTGGTTAATAACTGTCTTTTTTATTAAGTTGATACTGAACTTGATGTCTTTTTGCAGTACTAACAGAGATTACTGGTGCTACCTTTTAGCTTTTGATCATTTATGCAAGCCTAGATCTTTAGCTTTACGTTGTAAAAGGGGTATTTTTTTCAACATTTTTTTGGTGAGAGTATTAAAGTTGACATTATTATGATCACAAGTGTAAACAGGTATATAAGGAAGTGGCGATACATTGTTAAGACTGCTGTTATTCATGATGCTTAGCCAAATGGAGGTGCAATTAATACTGCCATGTAGAACTGGAATAACGTCAGCTCAGGAACAGCAAGTTTAGATAGTTTGACTGTAGTGAATTTTCATGAATGGAATAGTTAATCATTTTAGTGGATCTTGGGGGTCAATTCAGGCTGTTTTACTTGATCCACTTCTTATCATTATCCTAACAAAGTCTTCTGAGATAACACAGCACTGATAGTTGCTAACAGACTTTATATCTACCACGTTATTAGCATTTTATCTTGATACACTGATAAAATAAGCTTCAGGAATACTTAAAAGATTGCAATGGCTTCCAGCTGCCAAATGCTAGATTTAATTATTTTTTAGGACCAACATGAGGGTTTAGACACACCACTTGTGGTGCAGCACACATGTATTATCCAAACTGAAATTAGCAATTCAACTGAAGTCCATGTAGAGTCGAAAAATGTGAATATTTGGAGATGATCTAGCTCACTTTATTTTGTAGAAAAGAAAACAGATTCAGGGAAAGGGCATGCATTGCCTAAGGTGATTCAGCAGGTTTGGAGCAGAAATGCAATACAATCTCTGTTCTTTTGCTTCTCAGATCCAGAATTTTTTCACAGTACTGAACTACTTATGTTTCTGATTCCTTATTTTTTCTGTTTTATATTTTGCCAATATTGTCTTACCAAGATCCTATTCTTTACCCCAAATATTTAAATTCATTACCACTATTGTCTCTTTATAAGTAAAAGTACTAGTTGTTATTATAAATGATTATTCGATCACTTTTCATTTTTTTTTGGGTCCAGCACAAAGTTAGTAACAAATAAACATTATAGGCCTTGGCAATCCAAGGGGAGCTCAAGTCCTCCAGGGCACGTCAGGAAAAGGCTAAACGACAGCTGAGCTTCGAGTGGACAGAATACAGCTCTCATACGGACTGTTGAGTATTTGATGTTCTTCAACAATTTCATTCATCTTCAGTTTTTTCCTCTTTGAAGTGATGGATTTAGTCCTTGCTATACTCGACTTTCAAGTTTCTTTTGAAATAATTATAGATTCACAGGAAGTTGCAAAAGGTACAGGGATGTCTTAGGTACTCTTCACTAATTCTCCCAACGGTGACATCTCGCATAGCCATAGAGCATATCAAAACCTGGAAACTGACATAGGTACAATTCAGAAAGCTTGCTCAGATCACAACCATTTTGTACACATTTGTTTTTGTATGTATGTGTGTGTGTATTTGTGTGCATGTGTTCTGTGCATTTTTATCTCGTGTAGATCTCTGTAACTACAACCTCGACAGTCAAGATACAGAACTGTAGCCTCACCGCCAGGCTCCAACTTGCAATCTTTGTGGACACTCTGACACATTTTCCTCCATCCCTTCCCCTTGGCAACCCCATAGTCTGTTCTCCATCTTTACAATTTTATTTCTATAATTCATATAAATGTAATTGTACAAAATCGTATTTTTGAAGGGAAGAAACAAGTCACAGATATTTTTGTTAGCACTGCAAAATAATCTTTAATGCTAATTTATTCTATGTTCTATTTGTCTCAAAAAATGTGCTTTGTTCTTTCCCATATTTTCTGATATCAGGATAGGAAATCAATAGCAAACAAAACATAATTCCATTCATTTTTTTCCACAGCTTGTTTCTCACTGCTGTTTCCTAACGGTTATTGTTCCATTTACTCTTTCTCTCTGTTTTCCATCACATAAAAGTAACTTTGTGTTCCTTATCTCTTCTAAGAAAACTTGGTAATGAGTCTTTAATTGAAGCCCAGACCACCCTTGTTTTGATTTTGTGTTATGGGTGTTCTTTTTTGTGATCGCTTTCATGGAGAGTCCTTGTGAAGCTGGGCTTTTCCAATGGTTTGTCAAAATGGAAATAGATATTTAACAAACCAAACACAAAATGACCTTGCTCCAGGAATGCATCATTTCTGAGAAAACACTACCTCTTCCAACTAGAGATTGTGAATATTACTCATATTATCCTTTACTCCCTTTTATTAAAACTGTATTTTTTTTACACATTTGTATAACTCGGGTAATGAAATGTGAAACTAAGTGATTGCCTACCAATTACAATTGATATTAACGATGCTAGTGAGAGGCCACCTCTACAGTGGCTGCGCCGTGTCTAGGGACTTGCTAGCTTTGCTAAGTTACATGGGATTGCCTGCGTACTAAATGCAAACTTACTCATGTACATAGGAAACCATTTGTATTAATATGATTAAGAAGCCCTGCCTAACCCTGATGAAAAATTACTTGAAAATAACAGAAGACAGAGTCCTTATTTTAAAGTACATTAACTATTGGGAGTAATTACTATTAGTCCAACCATAACTGGATCTAATGAGACTGAATAGAAACAAATTAGACATAATTGGAAGCTAAGCAAAAGTCAATTAAATTCCTATAATTTTACCTTTATAAAAATTATTGAATTAAATGACCCGGATCAATTAGCAGAGGAAATAAAGCCATGAAGAATATTTCCAGGAAACTATTACCTTTTTTGAGGGAAAAATATTGTTTCACTTAATGATTAGAGTTTAGTAAAATGTAGCTTAATGAATTTTGCTGCCTTAGCAGTTTAATAACTTCAAATGAAGTAATTATGCAAATTTTTTGATAGTTTTACCTACAAAGTAATGCAGGAGTTGTTTTAAGGAATCCAGGAGTAGAATTTATTTGATAGAATAAAATAACATATTTATAAAAATCAGCAAATTCAGATGGTTTGGAATAAAGATATGATTGCTTTTACTCAATGTTCACTTTAGGGCTGGGTCAGCTGTGTGGGAATTGCAGTTGACCTGTTGTAGAAATTGTGTGCTTGGAAATATATCACCACATTGCTCCATGTAGACTCCCTCTGTGATTCAAGTCTTGTTCCTACAGCACTGCTGTCAACCCTCAACCACCGTCACCCTATAGACCCCAAGTCAGTTTGTATTCAGTAATGCAAGTGGTGTTCTGTGCAACTGGTCACCCAAGAACTTGGTGCTAAGAAACTGAGAAAGTGATGACCAAGACAATCTCATCAAAACACAGCCAGGGCCAGTCACAGTATCGTAATTTCTGCTTTCTGGATGTTCAAGGAAATGTAGATCATGGCTCCTTCTGTGATGCCTCATTATCTTCAAAAGGAGCTATAAGCGTACACTCATTTCCAAATGTGATGGAATAAGATCGCAGTTTCAATGAGGTCCTGAAGGATAATTAATTATATAATAGTTATCAAAATATTAATTCTGTAAGGACAGTCACAAAGGAAAGAACAGTGGCAAATAGGTCTCAGGAAATACATCAAATGGGATGTTCAGGTGTGATGCAGCTTCGTACATACTATGCTAAATACATTATGTCTGTAATTAAACCAGCTGCATACACAATGCAGGTGTGGCAAATTCTTTGCTGAAACATGTATGCCAGTTTCCTCATTTTTTAAAATGACAAGTGCATGCTTAATCAGGTTAGAGTGGATAGATTATGATATTATCAATGCACTGGACAAATCCATTAATGATACAGTGAGATTTTGTGCAGAAAAATGGAATAGAGAGGTGTGAATCCAAACTTTGAAGAATAAAGAACATACATTTGTAATTAGGAAATATCTCTCACTTTCATCCCTTATGTGCCACACATAGCACAATCCAGCCCCACCCAGCCATGACTCTTACATTTATCACTCCTGACAAAGCCGGCCTGGCAATTCAGACCCGGAGCCCGGAGAAAAAAGAGGAATCCCATGATTTCTGGCAAACACTGCTGCTTCTTTTGTAGTGGTGTGAGATGAATGCCTCTACATGCACACAAGTGCCATGTTGAGGGGGATGAATCTTTCAAGATTTGTTTAAAGTCAAATAATGTGAAGGTCCATGACTGACCTCCAGGCCTCTCAGAGCTTCAGTTAACTCCTTTGTGTTAGGGGATGTTAGAAGAACGTTTACAAGTCAGAGCAGGTGATGCTCAGGAGCAAGAGTGAATGAGGAGGAGGAACCCAAACAGGTCCAGCACAGAACATCAGCATCTGAGCATGAAGTCTACCCCTGAGAAAAAGTGGTCCAAAGGTTTGTGTGAACCCCATTCTCCAGGCCTTACAAACCCTGTGATTTCTGCCTCATTCTGTCCCGTCCTGTCACTTTGAGTCTGAATTGGAAGAGAGAAAAACAGTAACTAGATTAGTAAAGTAAGGAGGAGTGAAGAGCAGGAAGGTGGAGGTCGTGGTGGTGGAAGATGGAAACCTCTGCGAGTGAAATAGAACAGTTTGGATGTCAGCTGTGACTGCTCTAGATCTCCTAAAACCCACTCCATTTTTATTAAAAATATACATTGCATTTTTCCAGTGTACACGATATCATGTTAAGAGTTCATAAAGTTTTGAGGATGTGAGTCATCAGAAAGGAGGTTTAAAGAACCGATTATTTTGGTGGTCTGACTCCTTTACCCCAGTAGGAAAAGCTGCCATTTTGCTTATGCCCTGTGCTGAATCTCAGAATGCCTGTCAACCCAACACGCTTCAGCATGAACTTTAACTCAAAAAATCAAAAAGTACCAGGATCAATTTACAATCCTAGCTATATGATATTTTAGAAATTACAAAGCCTGTAAATGAGCTATTTTGTCAACTTCATAGATGAGAAATCTAAGAGTGGGTTAGTAAGTTCTCTTAGATTTCTCATATCCATAAAGTGGATAGAACATCTAATTTAGAGGCTTGTTGAAGGACAGACAGAAATGGCATTTATAAAGTATCTAGTGAAACTACTGCTAGGGATTATATGCTCAGTAAATGATGAGCACTATAATCACAAATAATTTGATCTTTGCCAGTGTAAAATGTATTTGTCTGTCTGCTTGGTTTTTCTCGGAGGCATAGTTTCCCTCTGTCACTCAGGCTGGAGTGCAGTGCTGTGCTCACTGCAACCTCTGCCTCCCAGGTTCAAGTGATTCTCCTGCCTCAGCTGGGATTGCAGGAGCCCGCCACCATGGCCCAACTAATTTTTGAGTTTTTACTAGAGATGGGATTTCACCATGTTACCCAGGATGGCCTTGAACTCTTGGCCTCAAGCGATCCATCCACCTTGGCCTCCGAAAGTGCTGGGATTACAGGCGTGAGCCACTATGCCCGGCCACATTTATGTTAATTCAGAGAACAATTTTTCAGTAAGGTTGTACAAATGATTGTCCTACATTCCTGCATGTTTGAAACTCTTTTTCTCTTTTCATCTCCATATGTGAATGACAGTTTGGCTAGGTATAGAATGCTTGGTTTACACTTTTTATTGTTCATAAATCTATAGTCTTATCTTTGTTTCTATCCTCTATACCAGCTTGAGTAGGATTAAGTGTGGGATTCACTATAAAACTCTATACCCACTGAACAAGTCCTCTTTTCCCCCTCCGCTAGTCCCTGGCACCTGTCATTTTACGTCTCTGTTTCTAAGAGTTTGACTACTTTAAAAACCTCATATAAGAAGGATCATGCAGCACTGTGTTTGTATTTTTGTGACTGGTTTATTTCACTTAGTATAGTATCCCCAAGGTTTATCTATGTTATGACATATGACACGATTTCTTTCTTTTTTAAGGCTGAATAATAATTTATTGTGTATATACCACTTTTTAAAATCCATTCATCTCTTGACAGATATTTAGGTTGCTTTTACCTCTTGGCTATTATGAATAATGCTGCAATGAACATGAGATGAACAAGCTCCTTTTTTATCTCTTTACTTTTGTTAGAAGCTTTTAATTCCTGATTAATGAGTTCTGAATGTATGCAGAGGTCTCTACCTGGCAGTGACCTAAAAGCCTTGTCTTCTGCCACCCTGCTCAGCCTTCAGATTCAAGTCTCTAGATTCTTGAGGTTGGGAAATGTTTCCGGAGCAGCCATGGTTTTGCATTCATTGGCCATTCAGGTTTTCTGCTTTGCCGTTTCCCCCCCATTCAGGTTTTCTGCTTTGCCATTTCCCCGGGGGTTTCCTTACCCTCTTGGAAGAACAACCATGCATTAAGTCCATGTTGACTGTATTTTACCTGCTGTTTCTATGTGTTTTGCAATAAGGGCTTTTCAAAATACCCATAACTTGTGGCTAAAAATGAGGTTTGTTCCAATGTGCCTTAGAAAGATCCAGTTTCATACTTACCTGGCAGGGCAGATACCATGATCTTAAAGGCAGTTTTCCCAGGGCAAGGCTTATCCATTCCACTCTGGATCCATTATAGGGGCATGCTGATCCCTGGAATTGCCCCAAATGTGGGAAGCTCTACTGCAAAATTTTTGGTAGTGAGCGATGGCATTATGCATTCATGTACGAATTCAACTGAGTATCCAGTTTCATACAAATAATAATAACATCTTCTATAAAATGTATTCTTGTGTATTAACACATGGGGCTCTGTAGTACTCCAGCTGAGATATATGGGAATCTTACCCTAGTTTTGCCATTTTCTCCTAACATCAGTCTACTTCTTTTAATATTCATTGCTTCTCCCCATTTCTGTAGTTCAGTGCATGTTCCTTTCCTCTGCAGGAACTACTTCTCTTTCCTCACCCAACTCATAAATCTCTGCCTCCCACCCTAAGGGTAGGCACATGACCCAACCTGGGAGATCAGAATGCCACACCCCCAATACAGGATTGGTTTGTGAGTAGGCAGATGATTCTGTCCATGCACAGAACTAAGTAGAAGAGAGTTTTTACACCTCAGCTTAGCTTGATGCTAGCAGAGAGCTACTGGAGTTCTATTTCCTCCTCTAGGGAAGAAAAGGATTTTGGTTTGGAGATAAAGCCAAGATACCAAGAAAGTGGGAATGAAAGACTTAGAGACAGGGAGTCCTGGCCCCTTTTCAGATGCTCAGATGCTGGCACTAGCTTGAGGCCCAGTCCTGCTTCTGCTCTTCCCAACAGCCCCTTTTCAGATGTTGGCACTAGCTTGAGGCCCAGCTCTACTTCTGCTCTTCTCAACATTTGGTAAGGGGAGCTCCCAATTTCTTTTCTAAGATAGCTGGTTTGACTTGGATATCCATCTCTTCTAATCAAGGGTCCTGATTCCTTGTCATTGTCATCAAAAAAATATTTGTAAATATTTCACTTCTCGCTGGTGTTGAACAAAGTGATTTGCACAGATACAATCTCTGCATCTTAATAGCTTACATTCTAAGAGCTGTACACCTGGCACTCTTTCTCTGGAACTATAACTGCTAAGTTCACGAATCTTTATTAATAATGCTTTTCAGATATATAGTTAAAAAATAATTTTAATAGTTGAAAGGCATCCATCTTTCCAAGAGGTTCAGACATACTGCAATTGAGTGCTAAGTAACTTTTATTTTGTATTTTTTAATATTTGTATTTCCATAGGTTATTGGGGAACAAGTGGTACTCAAGATGGATGAAGGACTTAAATCCAAGACAAGAAACTATAAAAATTCTAAAAGACAACATTGGAAAAACTCTTCTAGACATTGGCTTAGGCAAGGATTTCACGAACAAGAACCCATAAGCAAACGCAATAAGAACAAAAATAAATAGCTGGGACCTAATCAAACTAAAGAGCTTTTGCACAGCAAAAGGAACAGTCAGCAGAGTAAACAGACAACACACAGAGTGGGAGAAAATCTTCACAATCTATACATCTGACAAAGGACTGATATCCAGAATCTACAATGGACTCAAACAAATTAGCAAGAAACAAATAATCCCATCAAAAAGTGGGCTAAGGACATGAATAGACTTTTAGGTTACTTTTAGGTATTTGTGTGTGCAGACCTCTTGGTGTCAAGGCTAAACTGTTCCTTTCTCTGACACATGGGAAATTGATGCACAATACCTTGCAGTGTATAATTCCAGGCCCCTAGGCACTGGAGACTGGGTTATCTTTTCACTCAACTGACAGTTGATACATTGTTTGCACTGAAAAATCTGGCTTTGTTGAACCACACCAGTTTATGTTTTTAATTCCAAATCTTACCTTGTTATGAACTATTTTTTTGTCCTTTCCTCTAGAGAAATGCTAATGCTGCTTGCTTACATGGAAAGTAAAGTTAAGGAGTTGGTGTTGACATTTTGGCTTGCTGTCACAGGCAAAAAAGAATAGTGCTGTTTTTGTGTGTTTAATTTTCTTTCACTTTCCCCACTCTGTGTATTGGAGGATGCCTTTAGCAATAAGTAGTCCTTATCCAGGTCACTCACTCATTAACCGCCAACCACTGACAGTAATGTCTTTACTAGATATTTTGCTTCTTTTGATTAATTTGTCTCTATTTCCTTTGTTCTAAAGCCTATAGTGAGTAATCATATTTGGAGTAATAGCAGAGCTCCCTGCTGTGTTTTCATTTGCTTAAATCAAGACTTAGCTGCTGTATTGAGGAACCAAGACTGAGATGTGGGGCTAGGAGGGCCTAGGGTCTGTCAGGCACTCTTCAGTGACTTGAGGTGCTGAATGACTCACACTGTACTGGGAGATGACCACCTGTGTGCATCCAACACAGTCACAGATAGTGCCATTGAGCCACCAGGAGCAGCCACAGACCATCAGTGGTTGTGCTTTGGAATACGCAATTTTGTGTTTCTGGTGAGCTGTAATCTTTTCTTTTCCCATAGAATTATTTTTCATTGAATTATGCTATTAAAACTCATCTTTGGGTTTCTTGTAACGTCATTGCCGAGAACGTTATTTTTGCATTTCACAGTGATTTCTTGAGGAGGAAGTAAGAAGTAATTGTTTTCTGGACTCACTGTCTGAAAAACTTGCACTTTACTGAAGCGATTGTTTTGTTTACACTAAGTAACAATATGAGTTTTGTTAGCTTTTTGGATGGACTACAAAGCATAAAACCAACTTTGTTCCTCATCTCTGGCAAAGATGGAGGGTTGTTGGCTTGTGTTGTGTGATGAGTCTTATACCTGGCTCTGTCTGCTCTTGCCTTTTGCCTTACATTTCAAAGACCTCACTTTTTTCTTTTCTTTTTTTAAAAAATATTTTATCACATGATTTTCTATACATTTTAATAAAATTTCTTTTTTGTAAAAAAAGCAAAGCATAAATAAAATAGGGTAGCCATTTCTTCTAAGGTTATGTTGAATCTAACCCAAACTCTTATCAGAGAAAACTCTGCTTTAGATGTAGCCTAAAGCAGGAAGCAACAAACCTGTATACAGCCAAAGTATCATCTCAAGGGCCTGCATTCAAATCTCACACATGTGGCTTGAAAGTGATCTCTTTTGCCCTTATTTCAAGGCCTAATCTTAGGTTACATAGTACTTAAAGAAGCTTCAGTATGCAATTTCAAAGCCTGTAGTAGATGTAAAATGAGAAAATTAGAAATAAGGAGAAAAGCTGCTACATGAGGACACTGACAGCAAGGAAAGGGAGAGAAAAACTCACAAAGTAAGTGGAAAAATAGACCAATGCAAATAACCCCACATAGTTTAACAGACCTCATCATATCTATTGTGTACATGTTTGTATGACATAGATTATATCTATTATATGTAATCCAGTGTTCATAGTGTTGACTTAGAAATTATCAACCAAATTCAAAGCTTTTAGGCTTTGAAAATTGTTTGAAAAGATTTTCACCCAAAATATTTAAATTATTAAAAAAAATTATTGTTGATTAAAGTTGTAATCCTCAATTAATTAGAAGTTTTGGCTATCCAGAGACCTTATATTCCAAAGACTTTAGAGAGTTGTTTGTTAGATCACATAAATTATTACCAATATCCTACATTTAAGCTTCTAATTTACGTAAATTGTGAGCAAAATTGAGAGCCACACAAATATTCAATCTCTGAAGCTCTTATGGCAGCATTGATCAAATAGGTTAGAGAACACATGGATACAGCTTTATTGCCTTCTAGTTTTACTGCAAACGTGTTATTTAATAGTATGCAAATGATTGGCTAGATGTACAGACTGCCAGGGCCTTCATAGCAAACAGGTTTTGTGTTTACCCTAGCATACAAAAATGCTTCATCTACGATGTATGCTGTAACTGTGTGTATTGTCTACCCTAGCATGCAAAAATGCTTCATCTAAAATGTATGCTATAACTATGTGTATTATATTATCTATAATTATATTTCTCCTTGGTTTAATATTAGATATTTTCAGGTACAAGAAATGTATGCACATTATAGATTCAATGCATGTAGGTTATATGTGTAAATATTTATTGATAAGAGGCATTAAACCCCTGCCTTCTATGCTGGATAAACTCCTGAACTTAGCCTCCAAAACACCACAGTAGCCTCCCTGGTAAGCACAGGGCTCTTTCTCTACCCTTTTGTGTCTCCCACGCTCCCACTTGTCTACAAGAGCTGAGTGTAGACCAAGAGCAATAAAGTTCATTTCCCCAAAATAAGGCGTAGCATTCAGGTTTTGTGATACCTGATTGGTTTACATTGTTTACAGGTGGGGCCTCGAAGGGGTAAAAATCAGAAGCTTCTTATTCTGAGCGCAAGGGCAAGATCATTGAGCAGACATTGACCTCCCTTCAGACATTTCTTGGGAGGAACAGAATGAGAATTTCAGGGGCCAGTGCCTGCACCCTACTAGCTGTGGCAGCCTGGTGCTCATCTACTTCTCCAGCTTGGGAAGGCCTAGGTTAACCCCAGTCTTTGGAGGCATTGTTATTCCTCTTCTCTCCCTGCTTCCCCGTGTTTGTGTTCTGGGCCCGGTGTAACACTGAGGTTCAGAATTGCTTTCAAGAGAGGAGCCCATTTCTGTGTCTATGCAAGGCTGGACAATTTCTCCAAGTGGTTCAGCCTGTGGGGGTTAACGGGGCAAAAGCATCTCAGCTAGTAATAAACACTGCTTCGCCTCTTGCTTTTTTATTTTTATTTTTGCAAAACTTCTCTGTAGGTGTGTATTTCTCTAGAGGATTTCAAAAATTCTCTGTAGGTGCGTATTTCTGTAGAGGAAGGAGTGGTGACTGGGCCAGGGTGAATGGATTATTTGATCTATATTATCTTGAATTTTATATCTTTTATTTTAAAATTTGGGTGTTTTTTGAAGTAGGAAATCAATGCACATGGCTGAATATCTAAAAAGTGTAAAAGTATACATTGAAAAGTCTTCCTCCTAATCTCGTGATTGTCTTCGTTTCAGTCCCCATGGCCACATCATGAGGCTACTGATGTCATTAGTTTCTTTTGCGTTCTTCTAGGGTTTCTGTTGGCATATGCAAGCAACAATAAATGTATACCTTTATGTTTTCTCTTTTTACAGCAAGGACAGTTTATTAAACACACTGTTTTAAACCTTATTTTTTCTCTAAATAATATTTCATATAAGTCAGTATGTAGACTTTATGTATTTTTAAAATGAAGACATAGCGTTCCACTGAACTTAGACAATAATTTACTTAACTAGTCCAAGATTGAAGAATAAAATTATTTTGAATCTTTTGTTAATAGTTAATAGCTTTGATGAGTACACTTATGCATACATTATTTTACACATGTTCAAGTATGTTGTATAAACCCCAAAGTGGGAATGCTCTGTCAAATATTACAGGTATTTGCAACTTTGATAGATACTAATTGCCCTCGATAGAGGTAGTAAAAGCTTACACTCCACAGCCTTACTGATGATATATATTATAAAACTTTTAGTTCTTGCCAATCTAAACGTGAAAAATGGTATTTCATGGTAATTTAAATGCTTTTCTCGTTTTATAACTGAGGTTGACATCTATCAAAAAATTATTTGAATTTTTCTGAGAACTATTAATCTTTGAATCCTTTTCTGTTGTTTATCTTTTCCTTCTTCATTTCTAAAAGTTCCTATACAGAGAGATTCACCCGTTATCTGTGATATGATTACAAATGTCTGCCCTCCAATTTGTTATATGTCTTTAGATCCAAATACCTTATTTTTTGCCATGTAGAAATTTTTAATTTGTATGTGATAAAATGTTAATACTTTATGGATTCTGGATTTTCAGAAATAAAAAGGTCATCCTCACTTCCAGGTTTTAAAGAAATTCTTTAATGTTATTTTATGTTTTTGTATGGTTTTATTTTATTTTATTTTATTTTATTTTATTTTATTTATTTATTTATTTTTTTGAGACGGAGTCTCGCTCTGTCGCCCAGGCCGGACTGCGGACTGCAGTGGCGCAATCTCGGCTCACTGCAAGCTCCGCCTCCCGGGTTCACGCCATTCTCCTGCCTCAGCCTCCCGAGTAGCTGGGACTACAGGCGCCCGCCACTGCGCCCGGCTAATTTTTTTTGTATTTTTAGTAGAGACGGGGTTTCACCTTGTTAGCCAGGATGGTCTCGATCTCCTGACCTCATGATCCACCCGCCTCGGCCTCCCAAAGTGCTGGGATTACAGGCGTGAGCCACCGCGCCCGGCCTAGTTTTATTTTTATTCACATTAAAGTTTTTGTCTTATTTGGAATTTATTTTGGTATGTGATGTGGGAAATGAATCTAACTTTATTTTTTCATATATCTTCCTAGTTGTCCAAACATCAACATTGTTGAAACATCTCATCTGTCCCCTTGATGTGAGATGGCATCCTAATTTCCTTTACTTAGAGGGGTGGTGTCTGGGGATGAGATCACCTGGGGTGTAATCATACGTCTTTGACTGGGAGTGGGGCTGAAAAGGAGTTCCCATGTTCCTGGTCATGTGACGTGTGATCATGTGATGTGGAGATCTCCTGTGACATGGAGCTGGAGGAGGGAATAGGAACTAGCTCTGGCTCAGAGGGCACAGACTTCCACTGTTTTATCAACATTTAGGAGATTTTCTTGAATAAATGCTTATTAATTTGCATCTGCCCTTAGGTCAATTTCCAGAGACTTTAAGTGTGTTTTATAATTTTTACCAGTTAAACGGTTGTTTCACTGCGGGGAAAAGAGTATCCCAAGCTCCTCTCCTCTGGAAATCTGATCAAATTCTTTTTCAAGTCCTTCAGTAATGGTTAATTATATATGTGTATATCATATTTACATTTATATTTATTGATATAACAGTTATGCTTGGTGTTTCATGCGTATATGATAGCATCTTATGTGTTCATAAATTTTAAAAGTTGTTTTCTATGTGATCTGATTTATTTGCTTGAGAAAAACTTTTTTCTGGTAGCTTCGTCTGGGAACTTGCTCAGTGGTAATTTTTTAAATGACAGCTTTATGCAGTATTTTTATGATCTCTTCATTTACCCAGGAGTGATTACTTCTCTATTTTCCGCTGTGTTAAAACTAGGTGTTTTCTCTTTCTACTCCCTTCCAGGCCTCTCACTACTAGAATTCGGTCAATGAGAGTATCCGTGGCATGTTATTTAGTATTTGTTATTTTGCTATTACATACGCTTCTATTTCTAACATTTGATTTACTGCTTTGAATGATCCACTTTGAGTCCTGGCTGTTACAGCTGAGTTGACCAAGTCCTCCTCCTCAGACCCCCACCTGTGTGTGTGCACATCGTGTCTCTCAGCTCTGGAGCTGCAGATGATGTCAGGGTCTCAGCAAACAAGACCCCTCAAAGTTGAAAACTGTACAAACATCGTATGCAGCAGCCTTGATCTACCCTATGTCTTCCATTCTTTCCTCCTTCTTCTTCCACTTTTTGTTAGTTTCGATATTGGTTTATTTCCAGGGCATATGGCATTTATATGCATTTTATTACCCTGGTTCTCATGTTTATTTTAGTTTTAGTCAACACAATTCACAATTATAATATTTCACCATAGTTTTTCCTTAGTTATCTCTTTGTTGGCTAAAGTTTGTTCTCTGGGACTTTTCCCAAGTAGGAAAATATTCCCTGAGTTTGTGTGTATTTAAAACTGCCTGAAGTATACTTTGAAATGTAGCCTGACTAGGTATAAAACCTTTGGTTTTCATTCCACTTTTTGAATATCTTGTAAGTAATGGGCCACTGTATCTTGGCATTAAATTTTGCTAGGAAAAAATATGAGACTAGCCTGTTACATTCTCTTTTTTAAGAGCGGCTTGATTAAAGGATCTTTTCCTTAATGTTTCTTTAAAACTTTGTAGGGTGTTCTTAGTGTTTCCTTTTCTGTGGAACCTAATTTTATTCTGGAAAAGTTTTGTTGAATCAGTTCTTAAAGGGATTCATGCTCTTTCAATGCTGTCTTTTTTTTTTTCTTTCCATACCTTCCTTTTTTGATATATTTTAGATTGTCTCTGCTTATCTTCTATAGCCACTGTTTTCCCTCTAATAATTTTTAGATTTTCCCTTTAATTTTACTGTATTTACTTTTACTTTTTTATTTATATTTTCTATGTTCCTTACTGAGTTTTCTAAAGTCTGTTTTAATTTCTCTACTTCTTCTAGGTTCACCTTCGTTTCTATGAAGATCTTGGTTTTTCTTCATGTTTGCTGGTTTTTGTCAGCACATTTTTTTTATTCTAACGTTTCACCGCTTCTTTCTCTGAGTTCTTATATTTCTGCTTCATGGTCTTCCATTTTTGATCTGACAGCTCCATTAAGTTTTCATTTCATGGCAAAATATTTGGGTAACATTTTCATCTTGCTTTTGGCATTGATTTTTGTTGTGTGATCTTTCTCCATTGATAAGTTTGCATTTTTCCCCATAGTTTTTTCTTATAGTGTCTTTACATAAATCAATAATTATTAATTACTGAATTAATTGAAATGTTTTGAACCAATAATTTGTGAAAAGTTTCTATGAAGAAGAAAGGAGGAGGCAAAGTTGTCTTGCAAACTTAGCAACCCAACAATCTTCTCCTTCACCACCATAGAGTTAGATGGCTTCTGCAGATATGGCTAAATCTTCTCCTTCACCACCATAGAATTAGATGGCTTCTGCAGATACAGCTAAGTCTTCTCCTTCACCACCGTAGAATTAGGAGGCTTCTGCAGATACGGCTAAATCTTCTCCTTCACCACCATAGAATTAGATGGCTTCTGCAGATACGGCTAAATCTTCTCCTTCACCACCGTAGAATTAGATGGCTTCTGCAGATACAGCTAAGTCTCTTTCACCACCATAGAATTAGGTGGCTTCTGCAGATATGGCTAAGTCTTCTCCTTCACCACCATAGAATTAGGTGGCTTCTGCAGATATGGCTAAGTCTTCTCCTTCACCACCATAGAATTAGGAGGCTTCTGCAGATATGGCTAAATCTTCTCCTTCACCACCGTAGAATTTGGAGGCTTCTGCAGATATGGCTAAATCTTCTCCTTCACCACCATAGAATTAGATGGCTTCTGCAGATACGGCTAAATCTTCTCCTTCACTACCGTAGAATTAGATGGCTTCTGCAGATACAGCTAAGTCTCTTTCACCACCATAGAATTAGGTGGCTTCTGCAGATATGGCTAAGTCTTCTCCTTCACCACCATAGAATTAGGTGGCTTCTGCAGATATGGCTAAGTCTTCTCCTTCACCACCATAGAATTAGGAGGCTTCTGCAGATATGGCTAAATCTTCTCCTTCACCACCGTAGAATTTGGAGGCTTCTGCAGATACGGCTAAATCTTCTCCTTCACCACCATAGAATTAGGTGGCTTCTGCAGATATGGCTAAGTCTTCTCCTTCACCATCATAGGATTTGGTGGCTTCTGCAGATACGGCTAAGAGCTTAACAACCCAACAGTCTTCTCCTTCACTGCCATAGAATTCAGTGGCTTCTGCAGATACACCTAAGTCATCGGCTCTTTGTAGAGCATCACCTTCTCTGAGTGAAACTGGGTCCAGAAAGTCTTCGATGACCTCGGTCCATAGAGGTTCTGAATCCATTATTACAAACAAAGAATACAACTTTTATATTTCAGAGTCCCTGGCCTTCAGCCCTTTCTGAAATCAGCCACCACTGTGCCTTTAAGCCATCACTGTGCTTTTCTTCCTTTGGTCTTCCATGGCTTGCTTGATTTCAGCTGTTTAGAGTCTCTATATGTACTTTTGAGTCTATGGTCCATTTCTATTTACTCCTAGTTCAACTTAAAATGAAATTGTATTTTAAAATATATTCTTGCTGTTTTTAGTATTATTTTCAGGAAGAGTAGTGAGCAATGCTGTTTATTCAACTCTGGTCATACCATGTCCCCTGATTGTATTCTATTCATGCATCTCTAATAGAGCTCCTAGACTTTTCCAAGGCTTATATTGAAGTGACTTAATACATGTTTGTCAATGTTTCCTACATTTTCTACTCTTCATATGTCTCATATATGATGCTTCAGTAGGAGTCCCCAGTGTTTGGGGGACTCCTACTCTTTTGGAGTAGCCAAACTCTGAATGTATAATATTTATTTTCCCCTGCTTCCATCAGTGGTAGTAGACACCCTGGAGGGTCTAATTGCAAGCATAACCACCCAACAGTTCTCTCCTTTAGTTTAGAGCCCTGTAGTCAGTGTTGGCTAGTAAGTTGTCGTGGAGCACCCAGAGTGGACACTTCAACAGGGTCTGGTAGTCAGTGCTGGCCAGTAGGTTGTCGTGGGGCACCCAGAGTGGACACTTTGACGTGGTCTGGGAGCAGAGCATTATGTCCACTCTTGAATGATAGCTGGGACACGTTGGACGATGGAACCAACAGAATCACAGGCTTCATGGATGACCTGGGATTTTCCTGCATTCAGTCGGTAAAAAGTGTGAAGAGTATTAAGTCCCTCTGAGATTGAGAGGGAACATAATTTTAAGAACAACTGGCATCAGATCGTTTATTCATTTTACTTGACAAGAATTTACAAACATCTTTAATATGTGCCACAACCATGGACTAATATAAAATAGAATACAAATGCACAAAAGAGAACAGAAAAGTGGAAAATGCCAAGTAACACACAGAGTAAAATTACTGGCCGGGCACAGTGGCTCATGCCTGTAATCGCAGCCCTTTGGGAGGCCGAGGCAGGTGGATCAGCAGGTCAGGAGTTCGAGACCAGTCTGACCAACATGGTGAAACCCTGTCTCTACTAAAAATACAAAAAAATTAGCCGAGCATGGTGGCGGGCGCCTATAATCCCAGCTACTCAGGAGGCTGAGGCAGGAGAATCACTTGAACCTGGGAGGCAGAGGTTGCAGTGAGCCGACATTGCACCACTGTACTCCAGCCTGGGCAACAGAGAGAGACTCCATCTCAAAAAAAAAAAAAAAAAAAAAGTACTTGAGAGGATATGAAAAACTGTTCCCCAGAGGTGGCATAATTTGGAAGTCATAGTGTATGTTGGTGTCAAGGAAATAAGTGAGTTCTTTTTTTTAAAGAAAGATGTTTTGTTTTGTTTTGTTTTGTTTTAAAGAGAACAAGGTTCATTAACAATATGCAAAACAGATGAAATGCAGTCAATAACGCTATGAAAAATCACTTTCTCTACAGAATGCGAAAGCATCAATAACATTTTAGCCTTTATTTTGCTGTTTAGTAGAGAATTATCACTATAGTGTTTTCACTAGTTATCAGCATCTTAAGGGAAGTACTTATGTGTGTTGTACCTTTTGAAAACTGGAATCATAGAATGCTTTAAATTATTGTATTAAAAATTGAAGTGATGATAACTATTCAGCTGGAATGTCAGGAAAATGTTGAAAATGACCAAGAGTTTACCAGGAAAAGGCTGCAAGGTAGCATCTGGTCATACCTTTAAATGACAGACAAACACAGACACATACACACAAAAGCAACATTTAAGTAGAGGAAACTTGTTAGTGCTCATGTGTTTAGAGTAAGTACAATGAGTCGGATTAGTGCTTTCCATTGTGATGACCTCATTTGTGCTTGGAGCCACTTGGGAGGATTCTGTCAGCTTCATCCCGGCACCGACTAGCACTGCACAGCGTAGAAGGCACAAGGACTGAAAAGGTCATGTCTTTCTGCTCGGAAAGCTTGAATGGTTATAGAGTGTAGAGGGCCCATGCAAAACGCTCATTATCTGCTGTGTCTCTTGTTTTCAAAATTCTTTATCAGGTTACTGGCAATAAAATGCTGTTCCCTTTGGTTACCAGACAATGAGGCATTTATACCAGCAAGTCACCTGAGAACACAGCAGCCAACATTAATGAGTTGAAAGTACCACTGGGACAGTGAAGAATTGACAAGACTGCTGGCCTGCTGATCTTGTTTATCTTGCCTTTTTTTTTCTTTTTCAAGGTTTATTTGTGGAAAGTCTGTTTTCGTTGCTTATGTGCTCATCTGTGCTGCTTTAAAATGCCTTCGTGGTGGCAGAGAGTAATCAGCATATAGAGTCTGGAAACCAACTTTTAAATTTTATTAATGAGCTGAGTTTAGTTCCCCTTTATCTTTTAACTGACTCCAGGAGCATTAATGAAAAGTATATAAATATGAATACAGGTGTAGTAATAAAAAAGAATTATCAGTCACCCTTAATTTAATTGGTGTCACCTTAGCCTTTAGAAGGGTAATAGGATAGTATTGCCACCTGCAATCATTCAAGACTATTTTACTCACTACAGTAATTAGCTCACTTTAAAAAATTAGGTGACCTTTCAAAAGTGAGTAAAATAGAATCCGGTGAGAACCGTTAAGACACGTTTGTGAATATAGCATTGGTAGAATATCATAGATATTTAGGGTTTCGAGCGACCTGTGGTCATTTTGTGCAACTTCTGTTTATGAAAGAATCTCTTGAAACACTCTTTTCGTGCACGGAGTTACTAGGCATCTAGCAACTGGAGGTTATATCAATGTGTCAGATACTCCACAGTCTCTCTTCCAATATTACGTGCAAAATACCCTGTAGACTAGGAAGCATGTTTGATCTTCTTGGTTATAGGTGCAATTTATTCAACCAGCTTTCGTCTATGTGCATTGAATTCCATTATGACTACTTTTGGCATGGAGACAAACACAAAACATGGCCTCTGAAGAGAGTGTATGCTGGGATTTGGGATAAGGCATATAAAGAATAACTTTACTAAAAAGCTGAATATTACATCATATGAGTTAAACACTCTTGCCAAGAATTATCAGTAACCATAACAGCTGATGAAAGTGGATGTAACTGCAAATCAAACTAGTGGGCATCTCTTGTTTCTTAGCAAAATTTTCCACATTAAAGAAACGCTTAAAACGATATTTTTACTTGTAAGATACACAAGAGACATATTTGATTTAGGAGACATTCAGAGCAGTTTTCTGCCTTTGTTGCATATGTACATCAAAGTGCTTTAGTGATAGTTGCAATTTTGGTAGTTATCTGCCACGTTAGAAATGAATCCAAACTAGCATATTTTGACCTTTCAATTTAATTGCCACAAAGCAAAATTCACTAGTATTCAGTGCCTCCCATCAAGCGGAAATCCAAAGCACGTTTTCCCATTAAGGAGACTCCTTTTCTCACAGATAGCAAATTTCCTAATGAGGAGAGAGCTGATTGAAGGACCATGATGATGAGCCAATGATAGGTGTTATTGACCTTTCTTGAAAGAGCTTGACTTCTGAACATTTTTTGAACTTATACTTGAGATACAGTAGATTTGATATCACACATTATAATGGATGGTTTTCTGATAGGACCTGACCATTTACTAGCCTACATCCTTCTAGTTTTCTACATAAACTCTCTACTGCAGCAACTAATGATAATTATTATTATGGTTGCTAACATTTGCTGATCTTATTGTTTTCTAGGCACTGTGCTGAGAACTTCATATCCATTTATTTCATTTTATCTTGAGAGGTGACAGCGTGCTGGCAGCCCTCGCAGCCCTGGCTCGCTCTCTGTGCCTCCTCAGCCTTGGCGCCCACTCTGGCCATGCTTGAGGAGCCCTTCAGCCCGCCACTGCACTGTGGGAGCTTCTTTCTGGGCTGGCCAAGGCTGGAGCCGGCTCCCTCAGCTTGCAGGGAGGTGTGGAGGGACAGACACAGGCGGGAACCGGGGCTGTTCACGGTGCTTGAGGGCCAGCACGAGTTCCCGGTGGGCGTGGGCTCGGCGAGCCCCGCACTCAGAGCCACCAGCCTGCCCACAAGCCCCGGGCAGTGGGCTTAGCACCTGGGCCACCAGCTGTTGTGCTCGACTTCTTGCTGGGCCTTAGCTGCCTCCGGCAGGGCAGGGCTTGGGACCTGCAGCCCACCATGCCTGAGCCTGCCTCCCCCGCCGCACCCCCACATGGGCTCCTGTGCAGCCTGAGCCTCCCCGACAAGGGGCCCTCCCTGCTCCAGGGCTGTGCCTAGTCCCATCGACCGCCCAAGGGCTGAGGAGTGCGGGCTCATAGTGCGGAAGTGGCGGGCAGCTCCACCTGCGGCCCTGGTGCAGGATCCACTGGGTGAAGCCAGCTGTGCTCCTGAGTCTGGTGGGGACTTGGAGAATCTTTATGTCTAGCTAAGTGATTGTAAATACACCAATCAGCACTCTGTATCTAGCTCAAGGTTTGTAAACACACCAATCAGCACCCTGCGTCTAGCTCAGGGTTTGTGAATGCACCAATCAGCACTCTGTATCTAGTTAATCTGGTGAGGACTTGGAGAACCTTTATGTCTAGCTAAGGGATTGTGAATGCAACAATTGACACGCTGTATCTAGCTCAAGGTTTGTAAATGCACCAATCAGCACTCTGTCTAGCTCAGGGTTTGTAAATACACCAATCGACACTCTATCTAGCTAATCTAGTGGGGATGTGGAGAACTTTTGTGTCTAGCTCAGGGATTGTAAACGAACCAATCAGCACCCTGTCAAAACTGACCAATCAGCTCTTTGTGAAACAGACCAATCGGCTCTCTGTAAAATGGACCAATCAGCAGGATGTGGGTGGGGCCAGATAAGAGAATAAAAGCAGGCTACCCGAGCCAGAAGCTTCAATCTGCTGGGGTCCCCTTCCACACTGTGGAAGCTTTGTTCTTTTGCTCTTTGCAATAAAGCTTGCTACTGCTCACTCTTTGGGTCCACACTACCTTTATGAGCTGTAACACTCACCGTGAAGGTCTGCAGCTTCACTCCTGAAGCCAGCGATACCAGGAGCCCACCAGGAGGAACGAACAACTCTAGACACACTGCCCCAAGAGCTGTAACACTCACCGCGAAGGTCTGCAGCTTCACTCCTGAGCCAGCAAGACCACAAACCCACCAGAAGGAAGAAACTCCCAACACATCTGAACATCAGAAGGAACAGACTCCAGACACGCCGCCTTTAAGAACTGTAACACTCACCTTGAGGGTCTGTAGCTTCATTCTTGAAGTCAGTGAGACCAAGAACCCACCAATTCTGGACACAATCTTATACCACAGAACTGTAAGTTCTATTCTTCTTCCAGTTTTACAAAACAGAAACAGACAAACAAACAGAGGTAATTCTCTGAAAGATGTCTCTCTCAGTCCATTTCTGCTGCAATGTACCTTAGACTAGGTAATTTATAAAACAACAGAAATGTATTGCTAGTAGTTCTGGAGGCCAGAGGTCCAAGCTCAAGGCAGCAGTAGAATCGGTGCCTGCTGAGGGCCCATGCATCATGGATGGATTCTTCTGTATGTCCTCATATGGCAGCAGTAGACTCGGTGCCTGCTGAGAGCCAATTCATGGATGGAGTCTTCTGTATGTCCTCATATGGCGGCAGTAGAATTGGTGCCTGCTGAGGGCCCATGCATCATGGATGGAGTCTTCTGTATGTCCTCATATGGCAGCAGTGGACTCGGTGCCTGCTGAGGGCCCATTCATCATAGATGGAGTTTTCTCTATGTCCTCATATGGCAGAAGAAACAAGCAAGCTCTCTCAGACATTTTTATAAGGGTACTAAACCCATTCATGAAGGGTCCACCCTTATGACCTGGTCACCTCCTAGAGACCCCACCTCTTAATGTTATTGCATTGGGAATTAGGTTTCAATGTATGAATTTTGGAGGAATGCAAACATTCAGATCAGATCTGTTTGACCTCACAGCCAAAACTGGCAGTGGAATTTGCATGTTGCTCCTGGAACATATCTAGTAATTTTCCGTCTCTATACATTTGCTATGCTGTTTCCTCTATACTGAATGATCCATACTATCCGTTTAACTTTGTATCTTTAAAGGCTTGTGTGTGTGCCCATCTATTTTGGTGAGGTTGTTACCAAAACACCATGGGTTTGGTCTAAGTCCTGCTGCTCACTGCACAGAAAGCCAATCACTGAGATGGTGAGTGTTTCCAGGGAAGAAGCTTTCATCTGGTGCTGCAGCTGAGGAGATGGGAGCTCAGCCTCAAATCCATCGCCCTGACTGACTAAAAATGGGGTTTTATACAACAGGCAAGAAATGTAACAATGTGTAGGAAACACGAACTAGGGAGGAACAAGGAGGTCTCATCTGGTGAGTTTCAGTTCTTTAATGCTTTTTTTTTTTTTTTTGGAGAGGCCTGAAGGTCCTTTCCTGAGGAAAGAACTCAGATGAAACAAATACAAGTTTCAAGCTTTAAGAGCGGAAGAGTCAATGTCTATGTTTATACAAAAGAACACGCTGTGGGAGTATTGGGCCTGCTTCAAGGTCAGTAGGATCTATTCCAGAATTACACACATCGTTTATAAGCCCCTGAGTCTAACCAGTGTTTTGAGTTTTTCACTTATCTTATGTGTAGCCAGCACGCATGTAACATGAAAACATCAATTACATGTGTGTGCTTTTGCCTCTTGTTAATTTTTGTTGCTGTTGTTTTTTCAATTTAATTCACAGGCTCCAGCACAACATGTAAGATGGGATAGGAAAAGCTTTTTTCCTACCCAACAGAATGCTGAAAATGTAAATATTTTTTCTTTGGTTTACAGTAATAAGGAGTGTGATTCCTTTTTTTTTTCTACCTCTTCTACTTCTACGTTTTAAGAGCTCTGTAGCTTAGTGAGCTCCCAGGCTTATGAACACCGTGACACAACTAGTCTTGAAATGTTGCCAGCATTGTAGGATTTGCATACTTAACATGCTTATACTGCCATAAAGTATGTAAGGTGGAAAGGATATTGTCTTTTAGTGTGGGTACATAGAGCATGGCACGACTTGTTGCCAGCCTCACATCACATCTGTCTTCTGCTTTTATACTTTATATCCAGGGTCATGCAGTCAATTTTAGACATTTTAAAAAATCTTATTTCTATATTACTAAATTATTCATGGAGCCCGACTCTTCTAAGTTACTCTGGGAAAATGCCTTAGGCCTTCCAAGGACACAAAATTTTCATTCTTATAAAAAGCATTTGGCTAGGAATCAGAAGACCTACATTTTCATTCAAGAACTGGTACTAGTTTGTGTTGTGATTTTAGGCAGATCCATTATTGTCTCTAAGCCACAATGTCCTGAACTCCAAAACCATAGCATTGGCCTAGATGGTTTCTTAGGCCTCTCTTTGTGTCAGGAATTGGTGAGTTCTTGGTCTCACTGACTCCAAGAATGAAGCCACGGACCCTCGCAGTGAGCGTTACAGTTCTTAAAGGCGGTGTGTCCGGAGTTTGCTCCTTCCTCTTGTCTGGAGTTGCTCATTCCTCCTGGTGGGTTCGTGGTCTGGCTGGCTCAGGAATGAAGCTGTAGACCTTCGCGATGAGTGTTAGAGCTCATAAAGGCAATGTGGACCCAAAGAGTGAGCAGAAACAAGATTTATTGCAAAGAGCAAAACAACAAAGCTTCCACAGTGCAGAAGGGGACCCTAGCAGGTTACCACTGCTGGCTCAGACAGCCTACTTTTATTCCCTTATCTGGCCCCACCTACACCTTGCTGATTGGTCCATTTTACAGAGAGCTGATTTGTCTATTTTACAGAGAGCTGATTGGTCCATTTTGACAGGGTGCTGATTGGTGCATTTACAATCCCTGAGCTAGACACAAAAGTTCTCCAAGTCCCCACTAGGTTAGCTAGACACAAAGCACTGATTGGTGCATTTACAAACCTTGAGCTAGACACAGGTTGCTGATTGGTACATCCACAATCCCTTAGGGAGACACAAAGATTCTCCAAGTCCCCACTAGACGCAGGAGAGGGTTTAGAAAGTGCAAAGGCCTTATACCTGGGAAAAAGGAAAGACAAAGGGGTGGAAGGAAAAGCAGTGGCTGAAGCACAGTGGCTCATGAAAGACGAGACTGGATAGAATAGGAGCAGGTCCTCGGGCCTGGAGGATATCTTCAGACATTTGTGCCTTATCCAAAGAGAAATGGCAAGACACGGACGATGTGAAAGCCAGGGGCTGTCCTCCAGACCATGAGACCTCAGCCAGCTGCCGCCCAGAGCCAAGTTGCTGCTTTGTGTGCAGCTCTCTCCAAGTGTGGAAGAGCAGATGGGGTGTTTTTACTTCCGCCCCAAAACTTACACATTTCACTAAAATATTCCTACTCCATGCTTAGCAATGAGAAACCTTCTCTATGCCATTCTTATCCTTTTGAAATGATACCAGATGCCAAGAAACACCACAGGAGTAGGGCAAAGAAGTTGAGCTTCAAGGGCAGATGTAGTCTAAGTGTCAGCTGTACCACAAATTGTGACAATAAGCACATCACCAGGCTTCTTATTTTACTCCCTCTTCCGTGCAATGAGGCAGCTTGACTCTGGGGCTGGAAATAGTTCTCTCCTCAAGGTGGAGGCAAACGGAGTATCGGACAAATTGATAATCCACACAATCCAAATTGTAATTAGTATAGTCTTTCTCTGGTTATTGAGACAAGTTTTTCACGTGAGCTTAGCTTCTGCTTAGCATTTTAACTGTGGGAGAGGGAAAAGTCCTTGAAAGTCCTGTGACTCATTGGTAAAATAAGAACGTACTAATGAAATATGAGAAACATCGAAATAAATTAAAAGACATTAAAAATCTATTGTGTATCCTGCACTCCAAAGTCATTTTTAAATGGTAATTACACCTTTGAAGAGCATCTAATTAGTATGAAAAGAACTTTGGATGAATGTGGAGCTCTTCATCTGACTTCAGTTGATACACAGTGATAATATTCAAGACCAATTTCTGCAGCTTTTATCGCCTGACTGAGCATTGCTCTGTTTCTGAAGTTTAAAGGGATTTTCTAATCTTTTGCTTATCAGAGGCTGAGCAAAGACCTGTCATGGTTTATGGAGGTAAAAGAGAGGAGGTACAAGTATTTTTAAGTGCCCTGTGGAAAGTGCTGTCAAGTCCAGGCTGTGTCAAGCTCATGCTTTGTGGTGAAACAGGGATCTAAGCCACAAACTCCTGAAAAGAAAGTTTCTAGTCCCTTTTTGTCTGGGTCATTCAGGAGCATCGAGACTGACACACCTGGTAAGACTCCTGTTCTTCATCCCTGTCATCAGTCACGTAACACTCTTAGTGCTCACTGTGTGCCTGGCTCCGTGTTAAGTGCTATTTCAGTGAAATGTTAGCACTGTAAAATGGTTTCAGAAAAAGGCATTTGTGGTCACTCTCAAGTAAATGCCCAAATGGTCTAACTAGCTTATTAAGCAGGAGCACTCATTAAAATCTATGAGATTTGCATAAAATGCACTCTGCAGCACTGCTCTCACAGACACAATGGCAACAGCCCTTTGAACTAAGGCCGTAAGTTTCCTTAATGGGTTACATCAAAATTTAATGGCCCAGAGCTGGGCCACTTAGGTTTACTACCTGGACAGATGTGTTGAATGCTGCTAATGGGAAGACTGTAAGGTACTGGCTGTATGATACCCTGCCTTTAAATTCTGTAATGGATACAGATGCCATTGGTTAACAGTTTTTATTTCTTCCTTAACAAAAAGGGTTTTATAATAAGCAAGTCAACGATTTTTCTTCGGCAAGGACTTCAAGTACATTTCTGACCTCATCTCCCACTCTCCCTCTGTCCTTTCCATGAACGCCACGCTGGCCTCCTTGATGCTCCTCGAAAATGCCAAGCTCCTCGGGGCCACTGTATTTGTGCAGCCTCTCTTGGAACACTGTGTACATCTGGGCTCTTGGAGCAGCAAACACCGGAATGGTATTTGCCACTCAAGAGATTATTTGGGAGAAGTGCATGTGGAGGAAAATGAGAAGGGGCTGCAGGGGGCTGGGCAGGCAAAGTCTTAAAATGCAGTGCAATTCTGAGAAACTTTTGGCAAGGCTGGTAGTAGAACCCTCCAGCCCAGGCTGCCCAGCAGAGGAGTCTTTCATCTCCTCGCAGCAGGCCTGCCTTTATACTCCACCATGCTGGGTTACCGGCTGACAGTGGTAGATTTCAGGGCGGCAGCTGGCTGTTGGCCAGCCGCTAACAGTCACCAGCCCCTAGGGGCCACGAGATCTGACAAGCCCCTTCCCAGGGCCACCACGAGCTCTCTTGGTCTACAGTTCTCAGGACTGCTTCTCGTACGTTTAGCTTCTGTTAAATATCCCCTCTGTGGGGTCTGCCCTGTTCATCCCATGTAAACATATAAATAGCAACCCCTTCATTTCCCCTCACCTTCTACCCCATGTCAGTTACTGTTATCTGCTTTGTTTATTCATTGCATCAAGATACAACATACAGTCATCTGTCGATATTCATGAGAAATTGGATCCAGGACCTCCCCCAGATACCAGAATCCCTAGACGCTCAAGTCCCTGATATGCAGTTGTGTAGTATTCAGCGTAGACTATGCACATTCTCCCTATACTTTAAATCATCTCTAGATTACTGGTAACACCTACTACAATGTAAATGCTATGCAAATCGTTGTTACGCTGTGTCATTTAGAGAATAATAAAAAGAAAAACTTTGTATATGTTCAATACAGTTTAAAGGGCTTTTTTTGCAAATATTTTTGACTCGTGGTTGCTTGAATCAGCACATGCACAAATCACAGATACAAAGGACTAACTGTATGTTTCCTTGTTGATGTCACGTGACCTCGCTTTAGTAACGGATAGAAGGACTGTGTTTCCTTGTTGATGTCGCGTGAGCTCCCTTTAGTAACAGATAGAAGGACTGTGTTTCCTTGCTGATGTCACGTGAGCTCCCTTTAGTAACAGACAGAAGGACTAAGTGTGTTTACTTGCTGATGTCACATGAGCTCCCTTTAGTAACAGATAGAAGGACTGTGTTTCCTTGTTGATGTCGCGTGAGCTCCCTTTAGTAACAGACAGAAGGACTGTGTTTCCTTGCTGATGTCACGTGAGCTCCCTTTAGTAACAGATAGAAGGACTGTGTTTCCTTGCTGATGTCACGTGAGCTACCTTTAGTAACAGATAGAAGGACTGTGTTTTCTTGCTGATGTCACGTGAGCTCCCTTTAGTAACAGATAGAAGGACTAAGTGTGTTTCCTTGTTCATGTCACGTGAGCCCCCTTTAGTAACAGATAGAAGGACTGTGTTTCCTTGTTGATATCGCGTGAGCTCGCTTTAGTAACAGATAGAAGGACTAAGTGTGTTTCCTTGTTGATGTCACATGAGCTCGCTTTAGTAACAGATAGGACTAAGTGTGTTTCCTTGTTGATGTCACATGAGCCCCCTTTAGTAACAGATAGAAGGACTGTGTTTCCTTGCTGATGTCGCGTGAGCTCGCTTTAGTAACAGATAGAAGGACTAAGTGTGTTTCCTTGTTGATATCACGTGAGTTCGCGTTAGTAACAGATAGAAGGACTGTGTTTCCTTGTTGATGTCGCATGAGCTCGCTTTAGTAACAGAAGGACTAAGTGTGTATCCTTGTTGATGTCACGTGAGCCCCCTTTAGTAACAGATAGAAGGACTGTGTTTCCTTGTTGATGTCGCGTGAGCTCACTTTAGTAACAGATAGAAGGACTAAGTGTGTTTCCTTGTTGATGTCACATGAGCTCGCTTTAGTAACAGATAGAAGGACTAAGTGTGTTTCCTTGTTGATGTCACGTGAGCCCCCTTTAGTAACAGAAAGAAGGACTGTGTTTCCTTGTTGATGTCGCGTGAGCTCGATTTAGTAACAGATAGAAGGACTAAGTGTGTTTCCTTGTTGATGTCACGTGAGCTCGCTTTAGTAACAGATAGAAGGTCTAAGTGTGTTTCCTTGTTGATGTTGCCTGAGCCCCCTTTAGTAACAGATAGAAGGACTATGTTTCCTTGTTGATGTCGGGTGAGCTCGTTTTAGTAACAGATAGAAGGACTAAGTGTGTTTCCTTGCTGATGTCACGTGAGCTCGCTTTAGTAACAGATAGAAGGACTAACTGTGTTTCCTTGTTGATGCCACGTGAGCTCCCTTTAGTAACAGATAGAAGGACTAAGTGTGTTTCCTTGTTGATGTCGCGTGAGCTCGCTTTAGTAACAGATAGAAGGACTAACTGTGTTTCCTTGTTGATGCCACGTGAGCCCCCTTTAGTAACAGATAGAAGGACTGTGTTTCCTTGTTGATGTCATGTGAGCTCGCTTTAGTAACAGATAGAAGGACTAACTGTGTTTCCTTCTTGATGTCACGTGAGCACCCTTTATTAACAGATAGAAGGACTAACTTTGTTTCCTTGTTGATGTTGCGTGAGCTCCCTTTAGTAACAGATAGAAGGATTGTGCTTCCTTTTTGATGTCGCGTGAGCTCGCTTTAGTAACAGATAGAAGGACTAAGTGTGTTTCCTTGCTGATGTCACGTGAGCTCCCTTTAGTAACAGATAGAAGGACTAAGTGTGTTTCCTTGTTGATGCCGCGTGAGCTCCCTTCAGTAACAGATAGAAGGACTAAGTGTGTTTCCTTGTTGATGTCACGTGAGCCCCCTTTAGTAACAGATAGAAGGACTAACTGTGTTTCCTTGTTGATGTTGCCTGAGCCCCCTTTAGTAACAGATAGAAGGACTATGTTTCCTTGTTGATGTCGGGTGAGCTCGTTTTAGTAACAGATAGAAGGACTAAGTGTGTTTCCTTGCTGATGTCACGTGAGCTCGCTTTAGTAACAGATAGAAGGACTAACTGTGTTTCCTTGTTGATGCCACGTGAGCTCCCTTTAGTAACAGATAGAAGGACTAAGTGTGTTTCCTTGTTGATGTCGCGTGAGCTCGCTTTAGTAACAGATAGAAGGACTAACTGTGTTTCCTTGTTGATGCCACGTGAGCCCCCTTTAGTAACAGATAGAAGGACTGTGTTTCCTTGTTGATGTCATGTGAGCTCGCTTTAGTAACAGATAGAAGGACTAACTGTGTTTCCTTCTTGATGTCACGTGAGCACCCTTTATTAACAGATAGAAGGACTAACTTTGTTTCCTTGTTGATGTTGCGTGAGCTCCCTTTAGTAACAGATAGAAGGATTGTGCTTCCTTTTTGATGTCGCGTGAGCTCGCTTTAGTAACAGATAGAAGGACTAAGTGTGTTTCCTTGCTGATGTCACGTGAGCTCCCTTTAGTAACAGATAGAAGGACTAAGTGTGTTTCCTTGTTGATGCCGCGTGAGCTCCCTTCAGTAACAGATAGAAGGACTAAGTGTGTTTCCTTGTTGATGTCACGTGAGCCCCCTTTAGTAACAGATAGAAGGACTAACTGTGTTTCCTTGTTGATGTTGCCTGAGCCCCCTTTAGTAACAGATAGAAGGACTATGTTTCCTTGTTGATGTCGGGTGAGCTCGTTTTAGTAACAGATAGAAGGACTAAGTGTGTTTCCTTGCTGATGTCACGTGAGCTCGCTTTAGTAACAGATAGAAGGACTAACTGTGTTTCCTTGTTGATGCCACGTGAGCCCCCTTTAGTAACAGATAGAAGGACTAAGTGTGTTTCCTTGTTGATGTCATGTGAGCTCGCTTTAGTAACAGATAGAAGGACTAACTGTGTTTCCTTGTTGAAGTCACGTGAGCCCCCTTTAGCAACAGATAGAAGGACTAAGTCTATTTCCTTGTTGATGTCATGTGAGCTCACTTTAGTAACAGATAAGACTGTGTTTCCTTGCTGAGGTCACGTGAACTCCCTTTAGTAACAGATAGAAGGACTAAGTGTGTTTCCTTGTTGATGTCGCGTGAGCTCCCTTTAGTAACAGATAGAAGGACTAAGTGTGTTTCCTTGTTGATGTCATGTGAGCTCGCTTTAGTAACAGATAGAAGGACTAAGTGTGTTTCCTTGCTGATGTCACGTGAGCTCCCTTTAGTAACAGATAGAAGGACTAAGTGTGTTTCCTTGTTGATGCCGCGTGAGCTCCCTTCAGTAACAGATAGAAGGACTAAGTGTGTTTCCTTGTTGATGTCACGTGAGCCCCCTTTAGTAACAGATAGAAGGACTAACTGTGTTTCCTTGTTGATGTTGCCTGAGCCCCCTTTAGTAACAGATAGAAGGACTATGTTTCCTTGTTGATGTCGGGTGAGCTCGTTTTAGTAACAGATAGAAGGACTAAGTGTGTTTCCTTGCTGATGTCACGTGAGCTCACTTTAGTAACGGATAGAAGGACTAAGTTTGTTTCCTTGTTGATGTCACGTGAGCTCCCTTTAGTAACAGATAGAAGGACTGTGTTTCCTTGTTGATGTCACGTGAGCTCCCTTTAGTAACAGATAGAAGGACTAAGTGTGTTTCGTTTTTGATGTCACGTGAGCTCCCTTTAGTAACAGATAGGACTGTGTTTCCTTGCTGATGTCACGTGAGCTCCGTTTAGTAATAGATAGAAGGACTGTGTTTCCTTGCTGATGTCACGTGAGCTCCCTTTAGTAACAGATGGAAGGACTAAGTGTGTTTCCTTGTTGATGTCACTTGAGCTCCCTTTAGTAACAGATAGAAGGACTAACTGTGTTTCCTTGTTGATGTCTCGTGAGCTCCCTTTAGTAACAGATAGAAGGACTAACTGTGTTTCCTTGCTGATGTCACGTGAACTCCCTTTAGTAACAGATAGAAGGACTAAGTGTGTTTCCTTGTTGATGTCACGTGAGCTCGCTTTAGTAACAGAGAGAGGGACTAACTGTGTTTCCTTGTTGATGTCATGTGAGCTCGCTTTAGTAACAGATAGAAGGACTGTGTTTCCTTGTTGATGTCGCGTGAGCTCCCTTTAGTAACAGATAGAAGGGCTGTGTTTCCTTGCTGATGTCATGTGAACTCCCTTTAGTAACAGATAGAAGGACTAAGTGTGTTTCCTGGCTGATGTCACGTGAGCTCCCTTTAGTAACAGATAGAAGGACTGATTGTGTTTCCTTGTTGATGTCGCGTGGGCTCCCTTTAATAACAGATAGAAGGACAAACTGTGTTTCCTTGTTGATGTCACATGAGCTCCCTTTAGCAACAGATAGAAGGACTAACTGTGTGTTTCCTTGTTGATGTCACATGAGCTCCCTTTAGTAACAGAAGGAGTAAGTGTGTGTTTCCTTGTTGATGTCATGAGCTCGCTTGAGTAACAGATACAAAGGACTAAGTGTGTATTTTCTTGTTGTTGTCAGGTGAGCTTGCTTTAGTAACAGATAGAAGGACTAACTGTGTTTCCTTGTTGATGTCACATGAGCTCACTTTAGTAACGGATAGAAGGACTAAGTTTGTTTCCTTGTTGATGTCACGTGAGCTCCCTTTAGTAACAGATAGAAGGACTGTGTTTCCTTGTTGATGTCGCGTGAGCTCCCTTTAGTAACAGATAGAAGGACTAAGTGTGTTTCGTTTTTGATGTCACGTGAGCTCCCTTTAGTAACAGATAGTACTGTGTTTCCTTGCTGATGTCACGTGAGCTCCGTTTAGTAATAGATAGAAGGACTGTGTTTCCTTGCTGATGTCACATGAGCTCCCTGTAGTAACAGATGGAAGGACTAAGTGTGTTTCCTTGTTGATGTCACTTGAGCTCCCTTTAGTAACAGATAGAAGGACTAACTGTGTTTCCTTGTTGATGTCTCGTGAGCTCCCTTTAGTAACAGATAGAAGGACTAACTGTGTTTCCTTGTTGATGTCGCGTGAGCTCGCTTTAGTAACAGATAAGACTGTGTTTCCTTGCTGATGTCACGTGAACTCCCTTTAGTAACAGATAGAAGGACTAAGTGTGTTTCCTTGTTGATGTCACGTGAGCTCGCTTTAGTAACAGATAGAAGGACTAAGTGTGTGTTTCCTTGTTGGTGCCACGTGAGCTCCCTTTAGTAACAGATAGAAGGACTAAGTGTGTATATATCAATGTATTAGCATAATATATTTATATTATGTATTAACATACAATATTATTTTATTATATGTTACATAACTAATTAACATGATTAAATAAATGCTGTGACTTTACCTGTATATCGAATTATCTAGACTCCTAGAAATATGGTTGCAGGATGAAGACTTTACCCTTGCTGAAATTTCTGTGCCTCTCCTCCCTGCTTCCAGAAAGGCAGTGTTGGAAAATGCCTGTCTCAATGCACACTCAACAGCACTGTTTTTTGTTTGTCTGTCGTTTTTTTGAGATGGAGCCTCATTCTGTTGCCCAGGCTGGAGTACAGCGGCCTGATCTCAGCTCACTGCAACTTCTGCCTCCCAGGTTCAAGCGATTCTCCTGCCTCAGCCTCCCAAGTAGTTGGGATCACAGGCGTGCACCATCATGCCCAGCTAATTTTTGTATTTTTAGTAGAGATGTGGTTTCACCATGTTGGCCAGGCTGGTCTCAAACTCCTGACCTCAGGTGATCCACCCGCTTTGGCCTCCCAAAGTGCTGGAATTACAGGCGTGAGCCACCGCACCTGGCCAGCAGCACAGTTTTTTAATCTCTATCATTTTGATATTTAAATATATTTGTATCTTGTCAATTTATTTGCACTTTTTATTATTTGTATTTATAATAGCTTTGTTGAGGTAAAATCAATATAAAAAACTACACATATTTAGTGTACAATTTGATAAGTTTGGACATATGCATACACTGATGAAACCATCATTAAAATCAAGATTCATTATTCATGCTTTTGAACCTAGGTTTCATTTTTTATCTACTTACTGTTTCTTTTGTAGTAAACTGTCCAGTACTTGACCAGTTTTTCTATAGAAAGGGCAGTGTTTTATATGGGAGGGGTAGCTTACATCTGGAATCCCAGCACTTTGGGAGGCCAAGGCAGGTGGATCACCAGGTCAAGAGATTGAGACCAGCCTGGCCAACATGGTGAAACCCCGTCTCTACTAAAAATACAAAAATTAGCCAGGCGTGGTGGCGGGCGCTTGTAATCCCAGCTACTTGGGAGGCTGAGGCAGGAGAATTGCTTGAATCCGGGAGGTGGAGGTTGCAGTGAGCCGAGATCGCGCCACTGCACTCCAGCCTGGGCGACAGAGCGAGACTCTGTCTCAAAAAAGGGCAGTGTTTTTATTAATGATTTCATGGTGTCAATTATACAGCTATATAGATACACACATGTGTTTGTGTATATAGTGAGTTGAATTGTCTCCCCTCAAATGATATATCCATCCGGAACCTGTGACTATGGCCTTATTTGCAAAACAAACAAACAAACAAACAAAGTCTTGCCAATGTTATAAAATTAAGGGTTTTGAAATGAGGTTATCTTGGATTATCCATGTGGTCCCTAAATCCAATAAGTGTCCTTATAAGACAAAGACAGACAAAGATTTGACACACACAGATGCACAGAGAAGGCCATGTGAAGACAGAGGCAGAGATTGGAGTGTTGCTGTCACAAACTACGGGACACTTGAAGCCACCAGAAGCTGGAGACGAGGAAGGGGCCTCCGTAGGGCCTCCAGAGGGAACACAGCCCTGCCAACACCTTGAGTTCAGACTTGGAGCTTCCGTGGCTGTGACTCTGTGAGAGAACCATTTCCAAATGTTTTGAGCCACCGAGCTTATGGCGCTTTGTTCCTGCAGCCCTAGGAAACTCTGTGAGTGAAGGTAATTGTGTGTTTCTGTATCTATCAGACTAGTCAACGTCAATGTGACTCAGTGTAATTTAACTTCACCGCCTCACATCCTTGCTGTCTGACCTAAAGATTAAAAATTCTCTCAGAACTTCTCTAGCTCTTGCTTCTATGTGGTAACTGCATTGAATTTTTTAGTACATCCCAAAAATTGAAAGATACATGGTAAGCCATGTATCTTTCCTGCCTGCCAGTTTGTCATTTTTCACATAATAAAGCAAGGTCACTCAAAGGTATTTTTTTCTTGTCTCGCTACTTGACACATTCAACCATGTTTATAAGCTCAAAGAAAAGAGATGGCCAGTTTGCTAAAATGAAAATATCATTCAATCCTGAAGATTTCATTCTTCCATAAAAATCGTCCTATGTAAAGATGACTAAGTATGATTTCAGGCATCACCTTTCATACAAGTCTTCTTCCCTAAGACCTATCCACTGCTCTTCTCCACTGTGGTTTTAATATTTTAATGTTTCCATAGCACTAGATTATGAGATCCATGAAATCAAGTATTGTGCCTCCCTGAGTCTCCAGGGTGCAGCCCTGGCCTTGGGACATAACCACTGCTTAGTAAGTGCTTATAAGATAAATCCTCAAAACCTTGAAATGAATTAAGTGCTTGTCCATTAAAACATCCCCCTACGTTGGGGGACTAAATTCAGACTACTATATAGTTAGGAAGAGCACAAATGCAAATACATGGGGTCATAGGTAATTTGTTTCTTCAAAGACCATGTAGACTTCTCTTTGGCAATTGCAAGGGAAATTCTATCAATCATAGTCCACACATGGATATAAGCCATAAGTAACTCTTTTCCATGCTTGCTTAGCACAAAGCCTTATATACTCTAGATTTGGGGTTATGTTTTTTTTTTACAGTAATATATGTAAAGCAATGTCACAAACCTGAGCACCTCACGCATGCAATTTAAACACTGGAAACCAACTATGTGGAGAGTATAGCAATGGTTTGACTCTGAGGTAAGAAGCACGGTGAAAGAACTGGAAATAAACCCTGCATCTGAGCTTTATGAAGAAGCGATTATAATCAATACCAAAATGAAAAAAAGAAACATCAACAGCTACTGTGAACCAAGGTCTTCACAGTTTTGCTTCTTTCCACTAATCTTCCGAAGAGGTTATTTTGAGACGATATGTTCAAAACACTATAAGCCATTCTTCTCCATTCCCACTCCTAAAAGGGAAATTTAATCAAGATTGTCAGTTCTTACAAGAAAAAGGGAAAACGCACACACACATTCAAGCTCTACTTCTATAATCAAATAAAACCATCAAGAATTAATCAAAACTTGACTCGAAGCCCTTCCAGAACTGCAAAGCTCACATGGCATCCCAGAGATAGATGATACCATGATCTTTGATGTACACAGTGGAGCATTTGATAAAATGGTGATGTTTTTCTGCCATAAGTGGTATAATTACGCTATGCATCATATGCATCCATTTAATAATATCCCTGTTCACAGTCAGCCAGGCATTTCTCACAAGCTGGCATCTTCACAGGCCACTTGTTCTGCTGATTCCACTTTCTTCTGTAGCTGGGCAGGCTGCAGCCCCTGTTTTTTCCCTTACCAGGCAAACTAATGATCTAGTGCTTTCTTGCGTGTTGAGGTTAATAGATAACTAATATATTTCAGCACATTCATTATAGCCAGTTTTCCCCTAAGAAAAAATTGCACATTTGGGTCTTCTGCCTTGACAAATGTGGTGCTTCATCTTGAAAGTTGATTAAAATCAATACCTCTGTAGAAAATTACACGCAAAATGTATTAGTATCCAGTATATTCTGATAAGAATGCTTCTCATTCATAACTCTGATACCAACCCGCCCACCGCAAACAAAACAAAACAAAACAAAACAAAACAAAACAAAAAATAAAAGAAACACACACACACATGCTAAAACTGGATGTGAGCACTCATGGGAATAACAGTGTGTTTTTAACCAACAATAAAACTAAAAATTACTCATCAGTTAAACCATAGCTCATAATTTAGGAGAAGTTACATTTTGAAGTCCTGTTTTATCTCCAATTGAAATTTCAGAAGCCTCCAGAAATTCTATGGTATAAACTTTGCAATTTTAAAAATACATCATTTCAAAGCCAGCGGTCTGGAAGAAAATTGCCTATGCTGATGAACAAATATATTATAATTTTCACCAAACCATACAGCACACTTTCTTACATCAACTTTTTTCATCTCATCTCCTGATTCTCTCCCACAACCCATGTGTTAACCACACTTACCTTTTAACTTTTCTCCTAAAATATTAAGCCTTTTCCAAACAGTTTTGCTAGACAAAAATCCCTATTCATCTTTCAAGGTCTAGCTCAAGTGTTGCATAACTGTTGTTCAAGTTACTGAGGCTGTGTAACAAACAACCTCAAGACTCAGGTGCCTAGAACAAGCCCAGATTCTATCAGTCAGAGACTTGGACAGGACACAGCAGAAATGCTTGTATCTGCTCTGTCATGTGTGGCATTTCAGATGCAAAGATCCAAAGGCTGGAGGTGACCCAAAGGCTGTTGGTTGGAATCAACTGGAAACATCATTACTCACATGTCTGGTGGTTGATACTGGTTGTAGGCTGGGACCTCAGGTGGGGTTCTGATTTGAGAACCTTCATGTGGCCTCTCCATGTGGTCGGGCTTCCTCACAGTACGGGGGTCTTCGGGTATTCAGATTTTATACATGGTGGCTCGGGGCTCCTCAGTAAGTGAAGCAGATGCCACATGATCTTGTAAGAAAGGAAAACTTTTCCTCCATCCTCTTAGGTTCTGCAGCTTAATTTGTGAATTAAACTGACAAAAGAAGGACCAACGAATGAAGAGCATACAAATTTTATTTGTTGTTAATATTTTATATGCATGGGAACTGCAGAGAAAGAACTAAAAAAATCCAAAGAAGTGGTTACACTTAGGAGCTTACCTACCATTTTAACAAAGTACGATAAATTGTGGGGAAGCAACCAAAGAAAAGGGGCTTGGGCTTCTAGGGGCATTAAATTGTAGGAAGGTAAATACATGGGAGAAACTATTATAGAAAAGGGTTATTTAGTTAGGTTTCTTTATGTAGAGTAATCTTGATGCTGTCTCCTCTTCTTGGTATGAGAACAAGGGGACACCTTTATAATGGAAATTTATTCCTTGCTTTTAAGCAGATAGAGGAAGGGTAAACAGCTCTTCTCGCATCTTCTTTTTCTCAATTGCCTTCAGCTTAAAATAAAAATTAAAAATTTAAAAAATAAAATTTATGCAAAAGTAACATATATTAGGGTTGTATATTCTGATACTCTTCAACATTTTCTGGTCTAGCCTCCAGAGTCATTCAACATCAGCATCACTTTCTCTACATTCTGTTGGTTATAAATAAGTCAAAGGACAAATAAGACAAAAGTATTTGTATTGTTAATACTGAGAGGTGACAACGTGCTAGCAGCCCTCACTGGCTCTCAGCAACTGCTCTGGCGGTGCTCCAGGAGCCCTTCAGCCCACCGCTGTGCTGTGGGGGCCCTTCTCTGGGGCTGGCGGAGGCCCGGCGGCTCCCTCTGCTCCCCACCAGGTGTGGAGGGAGAGGCGCAGGTGGGAGCGGGGCTGTGCATGCTCACGGGCCAGTGCTGGTTCCAGGTGGGTGCAGGCTCAGGAGCCCACACTCGGTGTGGCCGGCCGGTGCCTACTGGGCTGCCCCCTCTGGGCTGCCGGAATACCCAGGCTAGGTGCCGCAAAGCCTCAGAGCAAGTGTCATTGAGAGGTGAAGCCAGCTGGGCTTCTGTGTCGGGTGGGGACTTGGAGAACTTTTCTGTTTAGCTAGAGGTTTGTAACCGCATCAATCAGCGCTCCGTGTCTAGCTAATCTGGTGGGGACTTGGAGAACTTTCCTGTCTAGCTAAAGGATTGTAAATGCACCAATCAGCGCTCTGTGTCTAGCGAAAGGTTTGTAAATGCACCAATCAGCGCTCTGTCAAAATGGACCAATCAGCTATCTGTAAAACGGCCCAATCAGCTTTCTGTAAAATGGACCAATCAGCTCTCTCTAAAATGAGCCAATGAGTAGGATGTGGGTGGGGCCAGATAAGGGAATAAAAGCAGGCTGCCCGAGCTAGCAGTGGCAACCGGCTAGGGTCCTCTTCCAGATTGTAGAAGCTTTGTTCTTTTGCCTTTGGCAATAAATCCTGCTGCTGCTCACTCTTTGGGTCTGCACCGTCTTTGGCGGCTGCTGCTCACTCTTTGGGTCTGCGCTATCTTTATGAGCTGTAACACCGTGAAGGTCTGCAGCTTCATTCCTGAAGCCAGTTAGACCACAAACCCACCAGAAGGAAGAAACTCTGGACCCATCTGAACATCTGAATGAACAAACTCTGGACACACCATCTTTAGGAACTGTAACACTCACCGCAAGGGTCCGTGGCTTCATTCTTGAAGTCAGTTAGACCAAGAACCCACCAATTCCGGACACAATACTATTGGATGTATGTTTGTTTGGTGTTTTCTTTGGTGAGTGAGTTTGTTTGTTTGTAACTGCTAAAAGAGTAGAGAGGAATGAGAGGGGGTTGAACTGCAACATCACAGAACACCTTAAGATGTAAGATTTAGGGTGTCTAATAGGCCATCTTAATTTGTTTGTGTTGCAACTGTCCCCGATATGGGAGTATTGAGAGGGGCATCCTTTAAGTGGTGATTGGATCACAGGGGTTATCCCCTTATGAATCAATCTACTCCTGGATTAAAGAACTAATGGGTTAATGGATAACTGGGTTATCATGGGAGAGGAACTGGTGGCCTTATAAGAAGAAGAGAGATCTGAGCTAACACGCTAGCATTCTCGGCCCCCTTGCCATGTGGTTCTCTGAACCACCTTAGGGCTTTTCTGATTTCCCATCAGCAAGAAGGCCCTCACCAGCTGCAGACCCCCATCCTTGGATTTCTGAGCCTTCATAACTCTAAGAAATTAGCTTTTTAAAAATAAGTCACCTAGTTTCAGGTATTCTGTTATAAGCAACAGAAAAATGGACAAAGTATGTCTTAAGTAAATCTCACAATTGCCTGTACGGTAGATATAAATAAATATTATTACTCCTATTTTACAGAAGACAGAATCAGAGAGGCTCAGCAAATGCCAGAACTCAAATTCAAGCGCAACTCTGCCTGATGGAAACTCAGGTGATTTCCACTCTGCCTCCACCTGCATTCCTCAGCACCCTGCAGTTGGTCCCCAGACTCTATGCTCCATGCTGCTTGTGTTTGTTGGTTGGCTGGTTTCGTGTTCATGTGTTCTGGCTTCTTCATTTTGGGTCTTTACATCTTTACATCTCTATAGCAGTTCTTCCCATGTTGTGTAGCAGTTGTCTCTACGTGACGGTCTGTCTTGTGAGGTCGAGCTCCCTGAAGGCAGCAAGCATGTAATTGGTAAATTCTCATCAGTTAGCCATGTCTGGAACATGGTAGGTATTCAATAAAGGTTTTTGCTCATTTAATCGACTGTTCATTAGCATTTACTGAACCCCTACTGTGTGTCCAACACCGTAGCAGGCACTGAGGATGGAGCGGTGGAGAAAAACAGGCAACACACTCTGCACTCCATCTAGTGTGCAGAAAACATGCAAATAGTCATATACACCAAAACACTTCACACAACACAGACACTGCTGTAACATGCAAATAGTCACATAAACAAAACACTTCACACAGCAGACTGACACACTGCTGTAACATGCAAATAGTCATATACACATGAAAACACTTCACACAGCACCCTGACACCCTGCTATAACATGCAAACAGTCATATACACATGAAAACACTTCACACAGCACAGCGACACATGGCTATAACACGCAAATAGTCATATACACATGAAAACACACAGCACACTGACACGCTGCTATAACAAATAGTCATATACACAAAAACACTTCACACAGCACACTGACACGCTATTACACGTAGATAGATACACGAAAACACTTCACACAGCACACTGACACACTGCTGTAACATGCAAATAGTCATATACACATGAAAATACTTCACACAGCACCCTGACACCCTGCTATGACATGCAAATAGTCATATACACATGAAAACACTTCACACAGCACACTGACACCCTGCTATAACATGCAAATAGTCATATACACATGAAAACACTTCACACAGCACCCTGACACCCTGCTATAACATGCAAATAATCATATACACATGAAAACACTTCACACAGCACACTGACACGCTGCTATAACATGCAAATAGTCATATACACATGAAAACACTTCACACAGCACAGCGACACATGGCTATAACACGCAAATAGTCATATACACGTGAAAACACTTCACACAGCACACTGACACGCTGCTATAACAAATAGTCATATACACAAAAACACTTCACACAGCACACTGACACGCTATTACACGTAGATAGATACACGAAAACACTTCACACAGCACACTGACACACTGCTGTAACATGCAAGTAGTCATATACACAAAAACACTTCACACAGCACACCGACACACGGCTATGTCAGAAAGGCGTGCAGTACTCTGTGAGTGTAGGATGGTGTCGAGAGTCAGGAAAGAGTTATGAGGAAAAGGGTATGTGAGTGAGGGGTCAAGGCCGAGCATCTAGGTGGAAAGTCCCGGCAGAGGGAGCCGTGCAAGCATCCCCTCAGGCAGCAGGGACGTGGCACGACTGGGGGACCGGTGGCCCGAGGGCAGAGGCAGAGCCGGGAGTGTGCGAGGTGAGCATGGAGAGGAAGCCACTGCACCCCAGAAAAAGGCACTCCTCCCACGAACAGGAGAGTCCACAGAGATTTCTGCAAAGGGAGAAGCCATGAGTGCTCGTTCAGTGCCTACAGTGTTTGGGGCAGCTGTGCATTTTCTTCACAAATTCATTCTTTAAGAAACACTGCTCCATGCGTTATACGAGACAGAAAATCCCGGTTAATACTAACAGATCCTTAGCTCGGGATTGTCCGGAGCAGGCACGCTGTCGGCAGGGGCTGCTCTGGGGTCTGTGGTGTCAGGGGCTCCCCAGAAGCTGCAGCGCAGAAATGGGGGAGGCTGAGAGCGACTCAGGCCTCTCTGCAAATGAAGCTGAGGGGAGATACCTTTCCGATCATGCTGGTGATGAAACTCGCAGACACAAGTGACTAACCAATTGATAAGTATTGCTCACTACTCGCAGAAAATATAGATTTTTTTCTTAAAAATCATAGACAAAACACAGTTAAATAATTTAATGGTTATACCTTTCCTGACATACTATGTAACCTTGGCTTATATGCCTGGCTTAGAGATGTTTTCCAAAGTTGTGGTGTAATAAAAACATTTAAATAGTGAGTATTCCGGTGGTATTTTTGAAATGGCAGTTACCAGCAAATAAACGTCTGTTTGGACGTGGTAACAGGGAAACTACTCTGCATCCGTTCACCCCTCTCAACAGTTGATTCTCCTGCAGCACAGAAGACTTTCTTTATTTATGAAGCAAACGTCTTCTTCACTCCCAGGACTTCACCACTGGTAGGCCACCCTAGCCTGTCTCTAATCATCACTTCATCGTCTTTCACAACCTGCATTTTCCCTGCCCCTGATTTCTCATTCTGTTATTGACCTCTTGCACATTCCCCCTCTGGTGTGAATTACTTTTGCCAACTAAACTCAGGCATGGTACCAAAACTATAATTTGAGCTCACCCCCATGGTCGCAACCTCAGGCTGATCGCATGACCTAATCTCAGCAGAATCCTCCCAGCTCAGGGACCGCACTCTCAGACGGCAAGGCCAGTGATCCCTCAAATTCATCCCACGCAGGTGAAGACAGCTCTTCCCTCAGAAGACGCAGGTTGCAGCTAGCTTGAGGAGAGATCAATTCTTCCCATGCAAAGGCACGAATATCCTGTGGCTAAAGTGTATTGGAATTTCCCTCTGATTAAGTATGTTTATAATTCCATCTGCAAAAACCAGCAGTAAGCTGAACTGGAAAGCATTACCTGAGATTATATTTCCATTTTGCCCCATTAAAAAAGACTAGAATTTAATTTTATCTCAGCACAGATGCTTAAATCGAATGCGTACTTCCTTAGGAATGAAGAAATAGCAATGTATGTAAGGATAAGTAAGTCAGAATGAGAGAAAAAAACAGTTTTTAAAAAAAGTACAGGTGACTAAAGCAGCATAGGGCTAAGTAGGTTTAAAGGATGAAGACATTAATAAAGAGCTTCCTGCAGGGTTATCAACAGAAATACTTTTTCATAGAAATTAGTGGGGTTTACACACTGCATGTTCTCAGTTATAGGTGGGAGCTCCAAGCTATGCATTGAGCACACATGGACGTACACATGGGAACAACAGGCGCTGTGGACTGCGCGGGGCAAAGAAGGGAGGGGCATGCATTGAAAAACTAGCCAGGGGTACGATACTCACTAGCTGGGTGTAATACACCCATGTAACACACCTGCATGTGAACCCCCATATCTAAAATAAGAGCTGAAACTTTCAAAGAGGAGCAGTTACTTTGACTGACTTTTATTAGTAGTTGTAACTCTTTTCTTTTCCTGGAAACCTGAGTCCTAAATTGGAAGGTAGTAGCCACAGGGTACCGTAGTTCAGACAGTTTTTGAAGATAAGCAATTAAAATAGATCAGGGAATGGCTCCTTTTCAAACTTGTGAGCTAAGAATCCAGAAAGCAGGTTGTTCCAAGACGATGCTGTGAAAGAAAAAATTGGCCTTTCACTGGGGACAGGGTTCTTTCCAACCTTATGTCTGGCTCTTGTACTTTCTCTTTCATCTCCTTTGTGACCCCATGGACTCTCAAATTGAAATGAATTAAATTTATTCACATTAAGGCATTAAACTACTAATGGCTTCATGTGTTCTGTCTTCCACTGGTGTTTGTATTTGATAGAAAATAATGCCCTAAAAAATGAATGGTTTAGGGAAGCTAATGGAAGAGATGAAGGCTGGAAGGGGCAGGTTCTCAATCACATGACGTTCAGCGTGCTCAGCTACATAATCAGCTCAGAAAGGAGCCTGAACATTGATTCTCAAAGTGTGGGCCAAAGTCCCCTGGGACATCCTGAGACTTTTTCAGTGGCAACAGGAGGCCAAAATGACTTTTATAATAATACTAAGATGTTATTCGCCATTTTTACCCTCATTCTCTCACAAATATACATGAAATTTTCCAGAAGATTCATGATAGGTGACTTCATAACAGATTAAATGCAGAAACAGAATAGTAGAGTTATCTTTTATTAAGCTACACATTAAGGAGATTTGCAAAAATGTAAAACAATTTCTCTCTTCTCAACACATTTATTTGGTTTTAAAATAAATGTGATTAATATACGATTAAAATAAATTACAAAATTAAATATAATTTTAGAACTAAATAAATTAAAATAAAAATTAAATTGGAATTTAATTTTTTTTTTTTTTGAGACAGAGTCTTGCTCTGTCTCCCAGGCTGGAGTGCAGTGGCACCATCTTGGCACACTGCAACCTCTGCCTCCCAGGTTCAAGCAATTCTCCTGCCTCAGCCTCCCGAGTAGCTGGGACTACAGGTGTCCGCCACCACACCCAGCTAATTTTTTTGGATTTTTAGCAGAGATGGGGTATCACAATGTTGGTCGGGCTGGTCTCGAACTCCTGAACTCAAATGATCCGCCCGCCTCGGCCTCTCAAAGTGCTGGGATTACAGGCATGAGCCACTGCGCCAGGCGGAATTTAATTTTTTTTAATTTTCATTAAAATGTTATTTATTTGAAAGGTTGGTAATTATTTAAAATTAACTAATAAATATTTTAAATATTTGTCCATTTCAAATCTTAGTATGATAAATATGGTTTTATATACATATTTATATAAACAAATCATAAATTTATTTATATATTTATATTTTTTACTATATATTTTATAAATATTTATTTTTATCCCATAAAAGTGAAAGCTTTTCAGGGGGTGCAACACATTTTAGATTATAAAGAAGTTCTGAGAACAAAAAGCTTGAGAACCACTAAACAGTGTTCTTATTCTGATCCTGACTGTTTTCTGTGGTTTACCTGTTTAAGACTTCTTGGTGATCTTTGATTGACATATTCATCAAATCTGCATCCCATATATTTAATAAAGACAGGAAGAGAGAGAGGGAGGCAAAAAAAGAGGAAGGAAGAAAGGAAAGGGAAGAATAGATGAAGGGAATAAAGGAAACCTAATAAACTATCCACAGGGAATGCACTGTAGGGGCCACGGGGATGTGTATTCAGTGCACACCAGGTTCACGGCCAATACCCAGCTGTGCTCATGACTGAAATGCTTCCAGCAGATGTGCTACGCCCTGGATATCTTCCACATAAACCTGACCTGTGTTCATTTCCTGAACACACTGTAGACAGATTTACTCTTAGACGTTTTGTTTGACTTACCCTTTGTTTTACGACAAAAAAATGTAATTGCTGGTAGTTAAATGTAGAAAGTTTTATGTGAAAGTCTGTATTTCCGTTTTATCTTGAATTTGAAAATAACTGGTAAGACAGTCACCAAGGACCTGTGACGAACAGTGGGCTGGAGCTGCGGAGCCGCTGTCCCTCGCAGCAGGGCACCAAGCACAAACGTCCCGGAGTCACCTCTGACCTGCCCCAATCTTCCCTGTTACCTACCCCGGCAGGACTCTGAGAGGAGGCTAATTGTCTCAAGATCATCTTTAAATCTCTTCGGGCACATGAGAACAATGTTCTGTGCCAACAAAAATATAAATTAAAAGGCAAAAAGTCACCCGATCACACCACACAGTGGCAGCCCTCTACATTTTGGTCTGTTTTTAGCAAGCATTTTTTCTCATGTTTAGTATTACGTACTTAGGATCATATATGATACACGATTACACAAAAATGAGGATGTTTTTGTATATCCACGAAATCACTGTATTTTCCATATTAGAGTAAGTGTTTGACATGCCATTAAAAGTGCTTTTAAACATAGTGTTCAGTCCTGCGTAATTCCCCACTGTGTGCAGGCACCATAGCTCACTCCGTGAATTCTGTCAACATTTAGGTTCATTTTTTCTTACTGTAAATAATGATGATGAACATCTTTATAAAACAGCTAGTTATACTTAGGATAAATCCTAAAAGCGGGTGAAAGAATATACATACTTTTAAAGTATTTACTATGTGTATCTTCTTTCCCTTGGATGGAAATATAAGCAGTTTTTTATTTTACTTTTTGTAAAATTTTCAATTAAAAGTTTATTTTTTCAAAATTTATGTTCTGTATTAGCAAACAGAAACAAGGAGCTAAAATTTGAATCCCTAAAGTACATTTTAAGTGTTACTTTAAATATATTAGGCTGTCTATGCTATGTGGCACAAAAACATAAAAACTGTGGACTTGGTCCAAATGCTTGGGTGGTACCATTCTTTGTGGGCTGGTGTTCTCATTTTTTAACTCCTTTTTTGCACATCCATTATTGGGACACTTCTGGACTATGATGTCAAGGTGACCATTCTAACAGGCTAGTTTTTTAACTGCAGTCTGTGGCCACATGAGAGGCTTTGTAAAAGTCCTGGATGAAATTCTCACTTTAAAAATTGTACGTCTGACACTAAGTGGACATTCAAGTGTGCTGATAATGAGTGCGGGGAAGCTTTCACTAACTGAGAAGAAGGGCAGAAATTAGCACGAAATCATGGAGTAGGTGTGGGCAGCAAGAAGCCAAGCACAACCTGAAAGAAAAGGGAACATGATTAAGCAAATCTGATCCCAGGGCAGCTAAGAAAACCACAGACGATGTTGCCACCAAAATGGACATGTGACTGATGCAATATTTATATACACAAATGTAAAGCAGAATTTGCATTCTATCATCTTCAGGTTAGGCATGGATCAACCCCAAAACAAGGATTCTATGCTACAGACTTAGGAGAAAACCTTACCATAAGAAAAACTACTTCAAAGTCATCTGGACTAACAATCTGATCCTCATGGCTAATGCATGCTGAACAGAACACAGGGCAGCAAAAATTGACCCCAGAGAAGGAAGGAAGAGGGAACGGGAAAGGAGAGTTTGGTTATCATTGCTCTTGGAGAAACAAGATGCATGATGTTTTATTAATAGGCACAATTCCTTTATGTAAGTAACCTGATAAAAGGTAGTAGGTTGATTTCATGCTCTGCTGAAGAGAAGTGGGATGGCTTTCTACCCTGAAGCCACTAGGGCTCTTTTAGGCACTGCATGGAGCATATTTGCTTTTTTCCTTTATATAAATTGCAAATAGCATCTTAGTCATATAAAAGAGTTGGTCCAGCTCCCTGCAAAAATGCTCTGTTATGTCCAGTGTGCATTTCATATATTTCACATGCTCCAGGGGCTGTCAGCTCATGCAGTCATATCCAACATTGACATTGACTATGGCAGTCACAGTGACAGCAGTTTTGTTCTTTCATGCCATTTGGTACTCCACAATGCACTACTTAACCCAAGACAATTTTCAGGTTTCACTGATATCTTTGAATCCCCTTAGAAAGAGGAAACCTCCCTAAAAAGATCTTAGGACATGCAACCAAGTATGAATTCTACTTAGAAAATCTTATGATATGTGACTAAGGTACATAAAATTCTCATATTTTAGCCAGTTTTATTCATCACAAAGTTTTGGAGACATAGATTCCATTGTGTTCTGATTCACAACTGCTATTTACTCATTCAATTAATAAATCTGTACTGAATGCCTAGTTGTGCCAAGTGCTTCTAGGCCCTGGTCATAAAGCAGTAAACAAGACAAACAGGACTTTCTGATCTCGTGAAGAAAACTAAACAGGGCAGACAGAGTGCCAGCCTGCCATGCAAGCACGGTGATCAGGGAAGGGCTCGCCAGAAGGCCCATGAGCGAGACCTGTAGAAGTGAGAGAGCCACCCACAAAGATGTTGGAGAAAGGATGTTGCAGACAGAGGCCCAGAGGAAGGAGCATAACCTAACACGTTTGAAGAGCAGGAAGCAGTCAAGAGAGGGTGAGCAAAGGAAGCACATGTGAGGTGGAGAAGGAAGGGGCTGGGGGCCACCAGATGGAGGGTTTTTGGTTTTTACTGATTGTGGTGAGAAGCCATTGGACATGTTTACAAAGGACTGATATTACCAGACCTGTCTTTTAACAGGATCCCTACGTAATGAATAGAAGACTAAGAAGAACCAGTGGAAGAGGGAGAACAGTTAAGAGACTATTGCCATAATCCAAGTGCAAGGTGGAGGTGACTTGGACCAGGAGTAGCAAGATGAGTGGTGAAGAGGGGTCAGGTTATGGATCTATTTGGAAGGTAGAATCACAGACGTTCTGACAGATTAAATTAAGCATAGTGGAGAAAGAAGGGAGTGTAAGGATTATCTCCTAGGTACGTGGGTATACCCATTTGGAGTTCAAGGGTAAGGTCTGGACTAAACCTTTGAATCTGGGAGTCGTCAGTGTATGGATGGTGCTTAAAGCTATGAGACTGTTTGAAATCCCTAAGGGAGTACATGCGGGTAGAGAAGATGTCAGAGGACTAGCCCCTAAGCTGTTGCAGCGTGTAAAGCACAGGGTGAACAGCAGGAACCGCAAAGCAGAGGGAGAAATGAGGCCAACGATGAAGGAAGGAAACCAAGAAGTCTGGGGTGTCATGGAGCCAAGTGAGAAAGTGTTTGAGGGTCAGGCAACAACCAGCTGTGCAAATGCTATTCATGGCTAAGTGAGAAGAGGGTTAAGAATTGATCATGGGCTATAACAACATGGAAGATATTCACATTTTGAAATGAGCAATTTCTGTGAAAGGACAGAGGAAACTGTCAGACCTAGTGGATCTGAGAGGAAAAATGAAGACAGAAATTGGAGATGGTAAATATGAAAACCCTTCCAAAGAATTCCACTCTGAAGAAAGCAGAAATAGTGCAGTAGTTTGAAAGGAACATAAGATCAGGACAGGTAGTGCCAGATGGGAAAATTCAACTGTGCATGTTGATAGGAACACTCCAGTAGAGACAGAAAAGTCGACATTGTGGGAGGTAGAAGGAGAATTGCTGGAATTCGAGAGAGACATTGGGATTTAGTGCTCCAGTTTAACTTATGGGTAACAAAAAGGAAGACAGTGTTTGGACATAGATCCAGGTGGGGGGTGATGAGGAAGTAGCAGTTTGCAGAAGCTCTCATCTTATTCTGGTTTTGGCTTAAATTTGTTTTTCTTTCAGTGACATATACCCCAAAGTCATTAACTGAGAGTGAGGATGGGAGAGAAAACATTAGAGGCTTAAGAGGAGAGAGAATCTGAAGGAGCCTCCCAGAAACATGAATGAGCGAGGGAAGGCATTAGAATGGCAGGTGTGCTAGGAGCCTACTAGCGGTTAGCGACAGGGCCAGCTGCATTGGTGGCTTAATGTGTGTGACTGTGGAGTCACACATAATTTTTGCAATTTGTAAGTTTATGTTATTTCTCATGTGTCACTGTTGCCTGCTTTATGGTTTATAAGTCACAAATTATTTTGAAAATGAAAACACCTTAGATTTTAGTGCATTTAATGAGGCTTTTTAAAAATGTCTTTTGAACGAACAGCCCCACACTTTCATTTTGCCCTGGGCCCTGCAAATCAGGCAGCCAGCCCCGGTTAGTGATCACGAATGTAAGGGAAGAGCAATCAGCGTCACTGTGGGCTTCTCCAGCCACACTCAGCTCTGTGGAGAGCTGGATTTACAAGGGATAGAGTTGTGCCAGGTGGTTACCACGAGGAGAGAAAGGGACAGGTTTGTTGAGAATATATAAAAATGATGATTCTGAAAATCAACTGGGAGTAAATAGACCCCATCTGGCTCCAACTCAATAAAACGTATACACTATACATCAGTGTATATTGTAAGTGTCACATCATACCTCAGGGAAGGTGCATTCCCCAGGGATCCTCGCACAGGATCCAGCAGTGGCTGAGCTATCTCTCTAGTTCTTTGATAGAAGCACCTGAAATTTTACCTGCTGTTGCTGGTTACACGCAAACCTCCTGTTAGTGAATAGTTAATTACTCCCAGAGGATGCAATACCTGAGTAGCTCCCAAAGTTTCCTGTGGGAAAGTTATCTTGGAGGAGCCAGTGTATTGAACTTCTTCAGCTAACAAATTTCTTCACCATGTGCATGACTATCTCGTTACAAGTTCCCACAGGCATTCAACACATTTGCTTTCTTTATTATTTTGTTAACATCAGACCATTTCCTAACTCATTACAGCTTATCCTATTACACATTACCATATGTCATGATTACTTTTATGTGTCAACTTGACTGGGCTACAGGGTGCCCAGATATTAAGCCAAACATTATTCTTGGTATGTCTGTGAGGGCTGTGAGAGTTTCAGGAGGAGACTAACATTTAAATTGATAGAGTAAAGCCAGTTGTCCTCCTAATGTAGGTGAATCTTATCCAACCAACTGAAGGCCTGAATAAAACAAAAAGTCTGGCCCTCTTGTGGAACAAGGGAACTCCTTCTGCCCGGCTGCTTGAGCTGGAACATCACCAGTCTTTTCCTGGCTTCTGACTCAAATGGAAACATTAGATCTTCTGGGTCTTGAGCGCACTGGCTTTTGAACTGTAAATCACACCATCAGCCCTCCAGGTTCTCAGGCCTTCAGACAGGCTGGAACTATACCATCAGCTCTGCAAGGTCTCCAGACTTCAGCTTGCCAACTAGAGATCACAGGACTTCTCAGCCTCTATAACTGTGGCAGCCAATTCCCTACAAATAATCTCTCTCTACACACACACACACACACACACACACACACACACACACACTTCTGTTTCTTTGGAGGATCCTGATTAATATACTGTTATTCCTTAGTTTGCAGTTATTACTCTCATGTTTACAGTAACCACAATGTTCCTGTATTCCTCAGCCATCATACAACTGCAGGCTGCACTCCAAATTCTCACAAGCTTAACTGGATATAACTTCACAATAAAACCCAGGTATAAGAATAAAAGGTGTCTTGCCCAAATCCCTCTGCAGAAACAGTTCAAACATCTGCTATGCTGATAGTTGCTCAACAAAAGTAATTATCATACTTTCATATTCAACAAACATAAAAAAAATTCTGTGAGAATTTTTACAATTATTAACTTTAATTCTTAAAATATTCTAGTGAATAAACCATTATTATGCCCATTAAAACATGAAGAATAAAGAGGATAAATAACTTGCTTGAGTTCATACATTTAGTATAGAGAAGAGAACATAGGATTTGTAATTAAATTCTTGCTTTTCTACTGTTACAAGTTACCTAAACTCTCTAAGATTGAATCTTTCATCCATGAAGTGGGAATAATACTGGCTACTGCAGGTAGTCATGGTGAGAATTCATGCTATTCTATATGTTCAAAGCCCAACACAGTGTCTGTTTTTTAGAAACTTAACACCTTTTCTTTGTTTCTATTTTCCTTTGTCTCTCTCTCCTAAGATCTTTTTGTCTGCCTTGTGAAAGACACTGAATTACATGGATGTCTCTGAAATAAGAATTAATATATTTTTTCAAACTCTGATTTTTTCAAAGCTGATAATTTATTCCAGGTCTCCTGTTTTGCAGGCTTGGTATTTGTTTTCTAAATCCAAATTTGAACATCCTTAGAAGCACATTCTTTCTAGTTTTCCACTGAACCCACTCTTCCCCGCTATCCACATTTAGTCCGATTCATACATTCACGTTACCTTCCTGTCCCTACAAGGTTTGGAATTTCAGCCCCTGCAGTGCATCCTATGATTCCATCACTTCAATGACTTCAGAACTTTTTGGTTTGGGCACAATGATCTAATTTTATTTTAAAACTTTGGAGAATGACACAAACAAGAGTTATTATTTTTAACAGTTCAGGAATTCATATGTTCTCATGGTCAAATCAAACTTGTTTTCTTTGCTTCACCAACAAATGTTGTCACATCGGCTACACCCAAAAGCCAGAGCTCAGCAGTCATTCACAACCGTCAATATACTTATCAACTCTAAAACAATCAGGAGGCGGATTTTAAATTTACAACGAGGTACCTCATTTTCAAAGTATTATAAAATCTGTTCTGTAAGTCATGTGTGGTGTCTTTTTTTTCTCTTTCTTTTCTCTGGAGTGCCTTCAAAATAAACATTGTAATTTGAGATGTGGACCACATAAAATGGACCAAATGATAAGATAATGGGCAAAAGCATTTCCAAAGTGAGACCAGCTGTCGACCTTGTCTTCAGAAGGGAGGTTCTGGCAAACTTCCATTGGCCCCCAGCCTAGTTTTGTTTCAAACTGATTAGCAAACTTTCTAGTCAATCAATCCTGTCCCAAATTAAGTTGCTGGTAAGAAAAAAGGAGCAGCCTGATTTGCATTACAAAGCTCTCAGGCATCTAAGAGTTGAGATGTGACTATCCTGAGGCTCCTTCATGCTGAGTAAAAGCAAAGGCTTCTCTTCTCTCCAAGTCAAGAGGAAGAGACAAGTAAGCCCAGAGCACTTTAACCTACTGAGGAATAGGTTAAAACTGAGCATTCAGATGTTTCTGTATTTGTGGGCAGATGTAAGTGAATAGTTTTTACATAAGCTGCATTTCTATTTTCACAAATACCTTCACTAGTAAATTTTCACCTAGTTCGAATAGATTTCTGGTGTTCTGAGCACAACAGTCTTTACCTATTACCCTTCTAAAAGCTAAGGTGACACCAATTAAATTAAGGGTGACTGATAATTCTCTTTTATTACTACATCTGTATTCCTATTTATATACTTTTCATTAATGCTCTTGGAGTCAATTAAACATATTAGTTTAAGCTTTTATATTTTATAATGTTTCAAGAATTATGATGTGAGTTAGAACATATTCCAATCCACAGGACAACAATACTGAAATAAAATTCCCTCTTTCTCCAGTTTTCCGGAGATTTTATGAAAATTGAATTTTATTTCAAGTTACTGCCTGAAAGTGTATTATTACCAGAGTAACAGACAAAATTGTAGCCTTAGAGCATATAGGAAAATTTGTGTTAAACATGAGGTGACAATGTGCTGGAGCCCTAGCGGCCCTCGCTGGCTCTTGGTGCCTCCTCGGCCTCGGCGCCCACTCGGGCTGCATTTGAGGAGCCCTTCAGCCCACCACTGCACTGTAGGGGCCCCTCTCTGGGCTGGCCGAGGCCACAGCCAGCTCCCTCTGCTGTGGACAGGTGTGGAGGGAGAGGCGTCAGCGGGAACAGGGGCTGCTGCGCACGGGTGGGAACCGGGTCTGCTGTGGGCGTGGGCTTGGCAGGCCCCCGCACTCCCGCACTCGGAGCGACTGGCCAGCACCGCTGGCCCCAGAGAGTAAGGGGCTTGGCACCTGGGCCAGCAGCTGCAGAGGGTGCACCGAGTCCTCCAGCAGTGCTGGCCCACCGGCGCTGCACTCCAATTCTCGCCAGGCCTCAGCTGCCTCCCTGTGGGGCAGGGCTTGGCACTTGCAGCCTGCCATGCCTGAGCTTCCCCCCTGCCATGGGCTCCTGCAAGGCCTGAGCCTCCCCGAGGAGCACTGCACCCTGCTCCACAGCGCCCAGTCCCATCAACCATCCAACGGCTGAGGAGTGCAGGCGCATGGCGCAGGACTGGCAGGCAGCTCCACCTGCGGCCAGGTGCGGGATCCACTAGGTGAAGCCAGCTGGGCTCAACCTGGAACACTGTTTCTTCTATTTATCTCAATAACTCCAACCCCTTCTTTATACCCTATTTCAAGCACTGCTCCCCAGGAAAGCTCTCCCTGCCCTCTGCCCAGCCCGGGGCCTGTGATTATGGGTCTTCGCAGCACCAAGGGCCTCCCCCTCACTGTACACATGGGTTGCATGTTTCTATTTGTGCATGCAAATATTTGATTCAGGTCTACATCCTCCAGCCCCCTTACAGAATATACTGCTGGCAGGTATGGGGTCTGGTTTTGCCCACCCCTGCGTCTCCATAACATAGCACAGTGCCTGACACGGAGAAAGGAGAAGGTGCTCCATGAACATTTCCTGACCCAATCCCTGACCAAATTCTCTAGAAGGGTTGCTGTGCTCTCATTGCACAGACATGCTGCAGGAGCACTCTGCTGTTCTCCAGAATTCTGGCTCTCCATCTCAAAATGATTCTGTGAGTGGCTGCATAATGCATCCTGACCAAAGAGTCAGGAGCCCTGCAATCCTTCAACACTTCTGCAATTAATGAGCTTTCAGACACAGGGCAAACCATTTAACGTCTCTATGTCTTCTTATATGTAAAATTGGATTTTTAATATCAGCTTTATTTACCTTACCTAGTTATTCTTCTATAACAAGAACATTAAGAGCCTGGCTTGTATTCGTTTGAGTGAGAGATTGTTGGTGTGAAAAGCATTGGTTATATGCAGTTTCTTACTTCTACACACAGTGGATTCCTACACATGTGTTTCAAAGTTGAATAACAAAGAATAATGAGGGAGACATTTCCAGAGAACTAAAAATACATTCTAAAATTCCTAATAGTGGTTAATTATGTGCTGCCTCCCTCAGATTCAGACTCATGAGGCAGGTGAGGCCTTCAAATGCACGCAGCACAGGGGGCCACCAGCCATCCTGGGGATGGGAAAGGTGACCTGAGCACCTCCTCTTCCCGGCCTGACCACTCCTCTGCCCACTGCTGCAGCGGCCACAGCATTTCCACGTCTTTAGGAAGATTTGGGTGGCTGGAAACAGACATCCAGATATCGGGAAAAGCAGTTCTATCTTCTTGCCATCTGTGGTAAATTGCAAATGTGACCCCAAATGTTTACTGTTTCCTTTTTCTCCAGCCTTTGCCATGTAATTTTATAGAGGTCACCAAGTTTGACTTTGGGCTTAGCCCTGTGAATTAGTCTAGGTTCTCCAGAAAAACAGAAACAATAGGATAGGTGTGTATATATATAAAATAATATTGTTCATAATATTATTTTTATTTATTTGTTTATTTTTTGAGACAGAGTCTTGCTCTGTCGCCAGGCTGGCATGCAGTGGCATGATCTCTGTTCACGGCAACCTCCGCCTGCCGGGTTCAAGTGATTCTCCTGCCTCAGCCTCCCGAGTAGCTGCGACTACAGGCGCCCGCCACCATGCCCCGTTAATTTTTGTATTTTTAGTACAGACGGGGTTTCACCATGTTTGCCAGGATGGTCTCAATCTCCTGACCTTGTAATCTGCCTGCCTTGGTCTCCCAAAATGCTGGGATTACAGGTGTGAGCCACTGCACCCGGCCTATAATACTATTTTATAAATATATACCATATGAAATTGGCTCACGTGATTATGAAAACAGAAGTCTCAAGATAGATATGCATTTGCAAACTGCAGACCTAGGAAAGCTGATGGGCTAATTCTAGTCCAAATGCTGGTGGGCTTCCAAGGGAAAATCTGATGTTTCAGTTCAGGTCCACAGGCAGAAACACAAAACACAAAACCCAATGCCCAGGTTCACAGCAGTCCAAGCAGAAAGAGTTCCCTCTGACTTGCTCCATTCAGGCCTCCAGCTGACTGGCTGAGGCCCAGCCACATCAGGTGGGGCGGAGGGGACAACCTGCTGTGCTCAGTCTGCCAATGTAAATGCTAATCTCATTTGCAGTCACCCTCCCAGACAGACCCAGAATAATGTTGAAACAAATTTCTGGGCACCCTGTGGCCCAGTCAAGTTGACACGTACAATTAACCATCCCACCATGAGATTTGCTGTGGCCAGTGGGATGTTCGCAGATGAGATGCCAGCAGACCCTTGAAAGACTCTAGACCCGTCAGGCCACCCAGGTAGTCACTTGAGAATGCACGCTGATGGAGGTGCTTTCGTGGCCACTGTGGCAGGCGAAGGGAGTGTGGTGTCCCCTGTGCTGGTCCTTTGCAGGAGGTGACACGTGCCGCTTCCACTCATGATTCCTGCCCGACTTGCATGAACAGACTGTCTGCACAAGGTGGGGTGTTCCAACCAACTTCTACAGATCTTGTAATTGATGATTTGACATCCACTAATCACAGGGCCAAACTAATGGCCAAAGGTGTCTACATCACCCTTCAGTCCCACTTTTGAGGTAGCATAAAAGTCATATCACAAACCCTCCAGCCACAAACAAATCTGTGACTTGTTTCCTGCCGAATAAGGGCCGTCCCTACTTTGTGACTTCTCCCCTCTGTGTTCATGGAGGCTTCGATCCATGCTTCCTGTACTCCTGCCTCCTGCCCAATCCTGGCGCTGCCTGGGCAGCCCTGTGTGTCATGCCAATGCTCCTTTTTCTTAGGAACTGTAAGGAATCAAGCTCTTATTTCAAAGGCAGTTGTTCCTGTCTGTGTCTATCACTTTACCATACCTGAATTAAACAAATCCTGAACTCAAATTGTAAAACATGGGGAATGCAAGCATATTATATGAGCAGAAGGAGTGGAATATCTGTGGACAGTCCTGATGGCTCAGACCCTTAGTTCCCACAGTGTTCTGAGCACACCAGCTGATCTCTGCTGACACTGACCTCCATGCATGGCATTTGCCTGCCGTCCCTGGCACCATAGGAGGTTATGGTTGTTGAGTGCAGTCATTCCTTAACCACTTTGCTATCCTGCCTTATTATTGTCAATAAACACTATAACATATGCTAAATTTTAGCATTCTGTGAAAGAGAAAAGGTGTATGATATTGTTTCTAAGGCGGAAACCGAGACAGCAAGATCTTACTGCACCATTCTGTGGCTTCCCAGTGCCAAGTCATTCTGATGACCCAGGTCTCACACTGGCACCTTCAGAAAACCATGGTGCCAGGAAGTTAAAATCTTATTTGAATCCAAATAAAGGACATATTCAGACTCCTAGTGGCTCATGATCTGAAGTCTAAGGTTTATTCGGAATTGGCGGAGATAGCACTGGTAAATATATATGTTTTTTTAAAATGAAGGATCCAAAAATACGACATTTCCCTAAGCATTAAGTCAGACTGAGAAATTTGTACCAGTGATTTGGAGCCTGGGGGTACCGAGGCAAAAACTTCATGAGCTTATTCCGGGACCCCCACCTGAGTCAAGGCCTCAAAGCTTAAGGATACAAAGTTCCAGTGACGGCTTGTTGCCAATAACAGAGAAGACGGAATCATGAGCAAGCCGGCTGTTTGCCCACCGAAGAGAGTGCTCGCAAATGCTTGGCAACACTCCCCGCCTGTGTGACTCCCTCTTTCAGCCTGGAGGGCTTTCCACGTTCACAGCGTGCATCCTCTTGACATTAAAGACATTATCCCAGGGCGCTCACCCTGAGCAAAGCTTCCTCTTCTCAGCTCCTACAGTTTGGCTGATGCTGCTCAAGAGTCCCCCACAGTCCTGGCATCTGGTTTCCTTCTGGGAGGCATCTGCCCTGCTGAAAGACAGGAGGCTGTGGAAAGAACAGATAGAACAGGATCCCCGCGGCTCTGATTCTTAAGGGAAAGCAACATGACCTTGGCTGGTGGATCGGCTCACAAGAGGCTTAAATAGAGGCCCCGTTGCTCCCTACAAGAAGTTTGGACACACTGTGATAAGGCATTTGAAAGAAAACCTTTCGAATACAGTGCGAATCTGTATCATAAACAAAAGAAGCCTTTGGTATGCCCTGTGTGCCCCTGCACAGTGCACTCAGTACATAACTACACGCTGTTCTGCAAAAAAATGAAACAACTGGAATTTTTAATATCATGTCTGAGATTTCCTGTGAGAACATGGTGTACACGTTCTCCTAAGTTCAAGGTGCGATTTTCCTCTAATTGTTTTCAATAGTTCCTTCCACTGTTAGCATCTTTCAGAAAAATATCAGCACATTGCTTTCCCTAGAGGGAATAGAAGAGAATAAGATCCTATGATTTAATCTTTAAAAAGTTGAGAAACAAAAGTCAAAAACATCCAAATTTAATGCTGCCTTTTCTAGCTTATGCATGTTACGTTAATACCTAAATGATGTCCAGAAGTATTTACTTGTGTCATATTTACAAAACTGGCTGACAGAGTTTAAGAAACTTGTTTTGGCTTTTGTTATTAATGTTCTCAGGAACAATTGACATGAAAGTTCTGGTTTTCTATGAAACAGAGTTTTGACATTTTTGGAGAAACTTAAAATAGGTCTACTAGGTTCTGGTGAATTCAGAATATTCAGAGGACATAGCATGACTGATGAGGAGCATAGGATTTTGTGCCTCAGAGCACTTACCATTGATTAAAGGCTTTTAGGTTGGATTCTGACCTGGAGATAGTGTCCACTGACTTCACGGCAGTCTCTCTTCTGCAAATAGGGGTAGTGCTTTGCCTCATCCTTATGGAAATGATATAGTGGGATGTGAAAACATGTGGTTTCCCCCTCGAAGTTCTAAACATTCCAAAAGTGCCATTTACTCACTAGATCCTTAATAGATCTTCCTCCTAATATGGATTTTTAAAAAAAAATTTAGATCACTCTTCTTTCATGATTTGAGAAGGTGTTACTTAGAGAAATAAGGCAAAAGGAAAACTTTAAGATTGACATTTGTCTAGGGTGCCTCAAACATTTCTAGAACATTAGATAGATTATCACTCGATCTCCTGTTTTGAAAGCAAATTGGTTTCTTGAAGACCCACTTTGATGATGAGACCTGTGGAGGTTTTCATCGCAGATGTTTATTTACACGGAGAAGAACCCCTGAACACGGTGACCAGATGAAAGGCAGCTCAGGGCTGAGCTCTCGGGACTCAGCTCTGCCATCAGCCACCAGCCACATTTTCCTCTGAGTTTATGAAAATGATGCACCCTTACACTCAGTGCTACAGTTCTTGAGTCAGCATTGTGCAAGTTGATTATCCAAATTGGGCCATTCTTGTCATACCCAACTAAATCAGAGAAGACGGGTCTGAGTAAAAGGCACTCAGGGTACATGACGTCACTCTAGAAATGCTGTCGTCTGCAAGTCCCGTGGCTGAAACTGCCTGTTGTAACCAGAGACCACTTTCATCTGTAGCAGGTGAGATAACAACTGCAAATCAAGGACTAGTTTTGCCCACCACGGTCACCCACCAATCAGACCTTACCAGCCCCCAAAACTTTGCTAATATCAAAGAACTTTCTCACAGGACCACAGAGGAACAGTCCTCTTTTTCCACCTTCGGACCACCCTGTCTGCCTCTATATTGTGAATCGCAATTCTTTCTTCCTAAATATTAAATTTAGAGATTCATCTCTACATTTTTAATTTGCTTTAGAGAAGGTCAAGCAGACACTTGCCAAACCCTGTGGTTTCCTTGTCACTGTGTGGCTGGGTTCGTTCCTCTTCATTTTGTCCTCACTCACAGCTTCCTTTGTCTGAAGCTTCCTTCTCACTGACCCGCTTACCTCGGGTGGCTTCTCTTCTGCTGTATCTTAAGAGGTAGCTGCTGCAAGTCTTTCTTAATTCACTGGGGAATAATGGCAGCCTCTCCAGGCCTTCTGTGTCAAGACCTCAGTCCTGGTTGGCTGCAAAGCTCCTCATCCAGCCTTGCCAGATAGTCTTGTTTTGCTTTCTTCTTCTAGTCTTCAAATCCCACTCTGATTTTGAGATTCTTTTGTTAAAGCCCAGCAGCAAGGATGGTGGAGGGTGCATTGGGTGTTTGGGTGGCAGGACAGCTGGTTTCTACTCTTGGGTTGGAAAATACCAAGCGATTTGGCTTTGGGGAAATGACTCCCCTTTTTGGTGTGAGGGATTATTTCTAGTAAACTGTAATGAAGAGATTTCATATCAGTCAACAGAAGTGGTTCTGAGCATGATCACTAAGTGGGAGCGGGAGTCACAGGGCCTCAAGGCTTATCTCCTCCAGGGCAGTTTTATCTCTGCCCCAGGAAGGAAGTATGTGGTAATATATTTCCTGGTCTGGCTGCTGGTCGGAATTTGTGAGGGTGATTGCCAAATGAATTCTCTATATGTAATCCAGATATCAACTGGCATTTCCTGCTCCTGTGATCTAGATAAGAGAGGCCTAGCAAGCAGGCCACTTGCCGTAGGTGCCGAGTTTATGGTCCGCATCACTTTTTTATGTAGGCTGAACCTGGCCCACATGACATCTGCCCAGATATAAAATTCCACCTCTTCCTTGATTTCCACCTAAAATGTCACTCACCTGAGGCAAGGATCCATGGAGATTTGAAGGAGACATGTGAGAGTACGCTTCAGAAAGGCACGTCCTCCTAGTAAATGTTAAATACTGAGATTCTTAAATGTTTCCTCATGCCCAAGTCTGTATGTTCTACATCCTTGAGAGGGAACCTAATAAAAGGAGTTATTTTTCTCGACAAATGGAGTTTATAAAAAGGACTTTGAGATCTTTCAAAATATGGTCTAATATAAGAATCACTTATTTTTGGAAACACATTTGTTTATTCATTCACAGTTACATTCATTCATTCTAGGCTTTTTTGGTTTGGCCTCTACAGAAGAAATTATAAAACTGGTTCAGTACTGCCCCCCATCAGATACACTAATTCCCCAAATAACGGAAGCCAATGATTTCTGCATGTGAATTGTCCAGCTTTTAAAGTCAGCCATTTGGCTGTCTGTGGCCATTTGGTGATGTGTTACTTGTGTATGGACTGCCAGGGTTACTAGTGTGGTCTCAATGGAAGGTAGCTCTTCAAGGAAGTAGTAAAAGCCAAACTGCACAAAGCAAATCCTGTAGCTGACAACAATGTGCCCAGGCTTTTCCAGATTTGCTCTAGTTATTCCAATAAGCACTATTCAAACTTATAAACAGATGAAAGGAGAAAAGAAAGGAGCCTTTAAAGACAAAAAGAGGGCTTCTTTCTGCCAGTGAAACATTTCTCAGGTAAGATCACATCATCTGCAATATGGCTTGCAAATGTGTGTTTAAGATAATTTTTGGAACAGCCTAGACCAACCAGTTAAAGTGACTAGGGGTTAAACTCCAGGAGGCACAACAGAATATATATGTCTATATATATATACATATCTTCACACCAATACACACAAAAACCTTTTATCTCTTTATTTGTTATTTCACAAACCCTAATAACTCTAAGCTGCATAATATCTCTCTTAACGATATAGGCGTTAAGAAGAAACTGCTTAGGCAGATAGTGAGGGTATGGGAATCCTCAGTAGGTTTTGCTTTTTAATGAAAAGCAGCCCCAAAATCATTGTCTAACAAAGATCAGCCTGTAAGATGGAGCTGCAGACATAGACAAGCCAGCGGCAAGCTTGCATGGGTGAAGGTCAGCAGGAAAAAGCTACGGGGACTAGGCATGTTCAAAACGGAGGCTCCATCTCCCCTTCCCTTTGCCAACCACGTGTACAGGAAGGAGCAGACAAGATGGCACCGGTCAAGTGGAAAGTCCATTTGCATAATAAGATTCGGGTGGGGTGGCCGGCCTTCTCCGCATGCCGTGTAAACCTATGTAAGCTCTGGGGAAATCAGACACCGCCTCCTCAAGCCTGCCTAAAAAATCCTGCACACTCCTTGCCGGCTGGTCTTCCCTTTGGGAAACTCTCTCTCTCTCACTAGAGAGAGACTATTCTCCTTCCTCTTTCTTTTGCCTATTAAACATCTGCTCCTAAACTCTTCCTGTGTGTCTGTGTTCTAAATCTTCCTGGCACGAGACCAGGAACGCTGGGTATTTACACCAGATAACTTTCCATATGATTTGTTGAGCCTTATACGCTAGGCGCTGAGTTAGTTACTGACTACAAACAGTTGAATTTGTTGTAATTTTCTAAAAACCTCATATAATTTCCTGTGAGCTTGACCCTTCCTGTTGAAGTCCAGCTGACATTTTGGTGAGTGTTTCTCTGTGGACTGATTCACCCCGTAGATAACTAGGCAGGAGGCCTGGACGGAGCTTGGGAAGGCTCTGCCTGCAGTGGGTGTGCAATGGGAGGAAGGTTTTCCCCATGAGCCTCTTCACTTAGGGTCCATTTGAATGGGATATTTATCTCCCAGCCCATCTTCAGGGGGAATCTGCCGTTGGTGAGTGGAGACAAAGGGCAGGAGTTGGAGTCTCAGCACTGTATTGTCCATACCACCACCATCTCTGGAGCCAAATTCCCAATCTGCTTCAGGCTTCGTCTCATATTGCACGTCCCCCACACACTGATCTTCCAGGTCTGTGAAGCATCGAAAACCTTTTCCATTTCAGGGCTGTTTGTGCTGTTTCCTCAGCTTCAATTTTGCCCCTTCCTGAAGTTTCAGGGAAGACCTCTCCGTTTAGACCTGACCGTCAGAGAGGCATTTCCTGCCCCTCTCCGTCAGTCCCATTTTTGTTTTTACATAGCGCGTTCATCAGTTTTTATTTATTATTTGTCTATTCAGCACTTTTTTTTTCTGTTTGTCCTGTTTTACTTTTCCATTAGAATATAAGCAACGAGAGGACAGGGCTGGGTCAGGCTTGTTTGCTATTATATTTGCAATACTTATCTTGTAGGCAATTAATGAATGTAAATAAATTACCTTCAATGCTATGAATTACAATAGTTGCATTTGCTTCTTCACACAAGTGTCCCACGATTACCATAAGCTTGTATGTGTGTTTAGGTTCTTTTTTTCATAGCATTTCCCATAAGATGATTATCTGAGTCAATGCATTGCTTAGGGTTCACCAGAGAAACGTGTGTGTGTGTGCGTGTGTGTGCGCGTGTGTGTACATGTCTGTGTAGGAGGGTGAGACAGACAGAGATTTCGTTGAAGGAATTAGTTCACATGATTATGGAGACTGCAAGACCAGAATCTGTAGGATAGACCAGCAGGCTGCAGACCCAGGAAAGGGCCCACATTGCACTTCTGAAGGCCACTGGCTGGCAGCATTCCCTCAGGACTGCGGGAGGTCAGTTTTTGTTCTATTCAGGCCTTCAACTGATTGGATGAGGCCCACCCACATTACAGAAAGCAATCAGCTTTACTCAAAGTCCCCTGACTGAAGTATTAATCATATTCCAGCATACCCTCACAGAAATGGAATAAATAACAATATGTGACTAGAACAGTGTTTGACCACCTATCTGGGTGCGACGGCCTGGGCGAGTGGTCACATAAAATGAGCCAGAATAGACAACCTGAAACTTTAATACCGACAGGCTTGTCCTGAGGCCAGGACACATCTTCATCCAGGTGGGGTGAGGGGCTTGCCATGTTCCCACAAGACCTGTGATTTTCAGCAATCCTTAAGTCTCTGAGGTTCAGATGCCTTGTGTATATAACAGGCAGATTAGTCTAAATCCAGAGATTGCAAACTGTAGCCCCCAGGCCAGATCCAGCCCCTCCTGCTTATGTGTGGCAATACAGGCTGAGAATGGTTTTTATGGATGAACATTTGGGATTAATTTGGTTCTAGGGAACTAACTTTGAACTTCCAATAAGCAAAATGTTATCTCCTCCTCAAACGATTCCATTTATCTCTTTTGTGGGCCTGTATTATCAAAACAAACAAAAACTAAATGATTATGTTATAGTTTGAATTTTGTCAAGAAAAATGTTGTGGAAATTTATTTTATCTCTTCTTTTATTAATATCAACATAATATCTTTGATTTTTGTCTCTTGGCTCAGGTAACCTAAAACATTTACAATCTGATCCTTTATAGAAAAAGTTTGCCAACCCTTGGTCCAAATGCCTCGTGTTTTCAAGTCATGACATTCTGTGTGCCTAGGTTCTCGTGGAATGTAACACGCTACGGGGATCAGCTGTTTGGTGAGTCTGAGGTAAACCTTTTATTGGAAGAGCAGTGTCTTAGATGAAATGAGCTTTGAACGATTTGGGGAAGTAGAGCAATGGGGGGTGGGGAAAGACTTTCTGCTGCAGACAAAGGTTCCCTACATGTCTGCCCTGATCCTGCACCTTTGTGCCCTCCGAACAATGAAGACAAGCCAGGCAAACCCCAGTGATGCTTTAACCTGCAGCTCGGGACAGCCTCCACTCTGTCTCAGACTCTCCCGGCTGTGTTCCGGCTTCTGCCTGGGGTTCAGCCACGGGCTCACCTGTCCTTGCAGCAGAACCTCTGTCTTTGGAGTTGGTGTTGGTCTTTCAATCATTTCTTTGCCTGTGACTCAGTCAAGCCTGGTTGGATTCAGACCAGCATGAAGGGTCCGACTGCTCCTAATTCTCCCTCCCAGCTGGGCCTGCTTCAAATCCTCCAGCATTCAGCCCAGCAAACCATGATCTAGCCCAACGCTCCCTGTGGGCATGTGCCTCTCCAAGATGCCGCAGGCAGAGGAAGCTGAAAGGCTGAGTGAGCCTCCCATTTGAATGTCTGCTTTTTCTAGGGCAAGCTGTTCTTTTCCATACCTTGTGTGTAAGACAGAGAAGGGGTCCGCCTGAATTGTACCGGGCACTGTGTTAGCGCTCCATGCAGATGGGCCAGGTTGCTTTCACTCTTCTGAGATTAACAGTTGCACTTCATAATAACAGAGCCATTTCACAGTTTGATACCAAGCACCCATACAGACAATATTTGGAGTCAGTGAAGAGAGTTTTTGCAAATGTCTTAGAAGATAAATTAGCGACAGTGTGAGAGATCAGTTTGCACTGTGCTTCAGTTTTCCATTGCAGGCTCTTACTAACCTGATCCCATTACAGCTTTGAATTAGGAAATAAGCCTGAGGCACAAATAGCTGTGAAAGCTTTGTTTGGTTGAGGGTTTTGGAATTCAAATGCTTAACAAAAGTTTGCAAAATCCTGTGAAATTTCTTTCTTTTCTTTTTTTTTTTTTTTTTGCATTTCATTTACCTTGTCTTATTTGTTCTTTCTGTTCTCTCTAGTCTTATTTTCAAATGCAATTAAGACCACCTAGTTCTGTCATTGGCTGGAATTCCCAGGAATCAGTGACCCTTTGATAGAGGTGTGTGTGCCCTGCCCAGGGGACCCAGTGGGCAGCATGAGGCTCCCCTCTCCCCTTTCTCAACCAGCCTGGAGTATGTTGGAAATAAAACAGAGAGCTAAAGAATGTGGAGAAACTGCCGGCCTGAACCCAACTAGAGTGGAAAACATCCAAGGAAGGTGGATGGGAAGTGGCGCTGGGAAGTGAGCTGAGTCTCTTGGGTTCTAAAAAGCTGGAAGGATTGGAGCAGGAACCCAGCCCCACACTTTCCAGCTTGTTTTGTCGACAGGAATGTTTTGCTGGAGGAAAGGCCTGAGGAGAAGTTTGATTTTCTGTAACTCAAGTAGATTTGGAACATTGCTCTTCCTTTCCATTGCAAACAGTTTTTTCTTCCAATGCTGATATTCGTTGAGATGTTTAACTCCTGTATATTTAAAAAGGAAGGGTATAAATACATTCCGATACTAAAAACATTATTTGCAGTTAATTTAAATATATATTAGAGTAATAAAAATTCGGAAAGTGATTGTAAGCTTACTTCACATGTGGATTTAACTATGTGAATTGATCGGAAGCTGAGCTTAAATGGCAATCACTTCCTGAGTTTTGGTTGGGTATCTCTTACTCCCTAGAGCACGGTTGGTTCCTTGCTTTCAGTTCAGATTGATTTGTGCAAAAGTGAACTCCTTGTCTTCCCCGTCAAGTGAGCCCCCACACAACTACTTTATTTTTTCGGTGATACCATCATTCTTTCAGTTACCTGCACTCAGAAATTGGAGCTGCTTGTCATTTCTTTCTGTGCTCTGTCTTCCATGTCTTTGCATTTCCAAATCATGTGAATGTATCCCTAGTGCCTCACTGGTGTTTCCATCTCCATGGCCCCACCCTCCACCCTTATTCCCCTGGTGTTTCCATCTCCATGGCCCCACCCTCCACCTCTTATTCCACTGGTGTTTCCATCTCCACGACCCCACCCTCTACCTCTTATTCCACTGGTGTTTCCATCTCCACGACCCCACCCTCTATCTCTTATTCCACTGGTGTTTCAATCTCCATGACACCACCCTCTACCTCTTATTCCACTGGTGTTTCCATCTCCATGACTCCACCCTCCACCCTTATTCCCCTGG